>NC_000010.11:82264307-82415822 GCF_000001405.40 Homo sapiens | reverse complement strand
TAGCATCATTTTGTTATTTATGATTAGGGGAAGGGGAAGGACATAATTAATGGTTCTTTCACGTCCTACCAATTATACAGTTCACAGCAAGCCCTGCAAAATAAACTTTGTCACAGAACGAAAACAAGTATTCTCTGGAGTAGCGTGACTCAACTTTATAAAGTATCACTTTCCTTAAAATAAATTCAAGTGTGCTTGGATAATTAAGGGAAAAATTAATAACATGGTCTCCCTACAATCACTCTTACATTAAACTCTGTACATCAAAATCAAAATTATTTTTATGCATGATGGGCAGTTTCCCACTGACAATTTTCTAAATTGCCTAATAATTTTATGTAGCATAATTACAAGACTCCTTCTTGTGTATTTTTCCTTCTCTTTGCTCCCATCTGAATACAAATTAAGGGCACTCATTAGCAAACCTTTGTGGTAAGCACTTACATCGTAATGCTGCAACAGAGCTAAATGAAATAAACCTAACAGGAAAGCCCTTGAAACACTCATTCACTTAACAATAGGGCATGCAACCATATGAACGACATTTTCCAGACTAAGTGACTTTCTGAATAAAAATAGGTGAAAAAGTGAAGGCAGATTGATTGCTCATGAATTGCTTTCATTTCTAAGACTTCACTGAGCATTTTTACCCATATAATCCAGCAGTATCTGCAACTCATTATTTGTAAATCTGACCTCACCAAATGTTTCCCTCTGGAATGGTTAATTTTAATGTCAATTTGGCTAAATGATGGTGCTCAGTTGTTTGGTGAAATAGTAGTTTTGATGTTGCTAATAAGGTATTTTATAGAGTTGATTAATATTTATGATCAGTTGATTTAAATAAAAGAGATTATCCTTGATAATGGGTGATGAGTGAGCCTCATCCGATCAGTTGAAGGCCTTAAGAGCAAAAACTGAGGGTTTTCAGAAAGAAGGAGTTCTTCCTCAAGACTGTAATACAAGAATCCTTCCTGTTTTCAGCCTGCTGGTCTGCCTACAGGCTTTGAACTTGCCAACACTCAATTATATGAGTCAATTCCTTAAAATCAAAATCAATCATCTCTCTCTCTCTGTGTGCTCACACACATATATCTTCTGTTGGTTTTGTCTCTTGGGGGAACCCTGATTGATATAACCATATTTATTCATTCCTTTCTCCACAGATTGGACCCTAAAGGTATAGCTTATTTTATTGTGCTTCACTTGATTGCAATTTGCAGATACTGAGTTTTTTACAAATTAAAGGTTTGTGACAACCCTGCATCGAGGAAGTTTATATCAGTGCCATTTTACCAACGGCATGTGCTCACTTCCTGTCTTTGTGTGTCTTTCATTAACTCTCTTAATATCTCAAACTTTTTCATGATTTTTATATCTGTTATGATGATCTGTAATCCTGATCTTTAAGAGGTTACTACCGTAAATGTCTTGGTGCAGCACAAACCATGCCCATATAAGACAGTGACATTAATCAATAAATGTTATGTGTGTTCTGACTGCTTCACCAACCAGCCATTCCCTTTCTCTCTCCCTCTTCTCAGTCTACCTATTTCCTGACACACAATATTAAAATTAGGCCAATTAATAAACTTACAACCGCCTCTGTGTGAGCAAGCAAAAGGAAGAGTCACATTCTCTCTCACTTTTAACCTAATGCTGGAAATGATTAAGCTTAGTGAGGGAGGCATGTCAAAAGCTGAGACAGGTGGAAATCCAGGCTCCTTGTGCTAAACATTGAGCCAAGTTGTGAATGCAAAGGAAAAGTTCCTGAGGAAAATTAAAAGTGCTACTCCAATGAACACACAGATAATAAGAAAGCAAAAAAGCCTTATTGCTAATATGGAGAAAGTTTTAGTGGTCTGAATAGAAGATCAAACGAGCCACAACATTACCCTAAACCAAAGCTTTATCCACAAGAAAGCCTTAACTCTCTTCAATTCTATGAAGGCCGAGAGAGGTGAGGAGGCTGCAGAAGAAAAGTTGGGAACCAGCAGAGGTTGCTTCACGAGGTTTAAGGAAAGAAGCCATCTCCATAAAATAAAAGTACATGTGAAACAGCAAATGTTGATGTAGAAGGAACAGCAAGTAATCAAGAAGATCTAGCTAAGATAATTGATGAAGGTGGCTACAATAAACAACAGGTTTTCAATATGGATGAAACAGCTTTTTAATGGAAGGGATGCCATCTAAAACCCTCATAGCTAGAGAGAAGTCAATGACTGGCTTTAAAATTTCAAAGGAACCGCTGACTCTCTTGTTACATAATGCAGCTGGTTACTTTAAGTTGAAGCCAAGGTTCATTTATCATTCCGGAAACTGTAAGGTCATTAAGAATTATGTTAAATCTACTCTTCCTGTGCTCTATAAATAGAATGGCAAAGCCTGGATGGCAGCATATCTGTTTACAGCATGGTTTACTAATTTTAAGCCCACTATTGAGACCTACTGCTCACACAAAGAAAGATTCTTTTTAAAATATTACTGTTCATTGACAATTGCACCTGGTCACCCCAGAGCTCCAAGATTAATGTTGATTTCATGCCTGCTAATACAACATCCATTCCACAGCCCATGGATCAAAAAGTAATTTCAACTTTCAAATTTTATTATCTAAGAAATACGTTTCATAAGGCCCTAGGTGCCATAGATAGTGATTCCTCTGATGGATCTGGGCAATGTAAATTGAAAACCTTCTGGAAAGTATTCACCATTTTAGATGCCATTAAGACTATTAAGGATCTATAGTCAAAATATCAACAATAACAAAGGTTGGAAAGAAGTTGATTCCAACTCTCATGGATGATTTTGAGGGGTTCAAGACTTCAGTGGAGGAAGTAACTGCAGATGTAGTGAAAATGGCAAGAGAACTAGAATTAGAAGTACAGCAGGAAGACATGATTGAATTGCTGCAATCTCATGAAAAAGTTGAACAAATAATGCATTGTTTCTTAGGGAAGAGCTAAGAAAGTGTTTTTTTGTTTGTTTGTTAGATGAAATCTACACCTGTTGAAGATGCTGTGAACATTGTTGAAGTGACAACACAGGATTTAGAATATTGCACAAACTTATTTGATAAAGTAGTGGCAGTAGTTGAGAGGATTGACTCCAATTTTGAAAGCAGTTCTGCTGTAGGTAAAATGCTATTAAGCAACATCACATGCTACAGAGAAATATTTTGTGAAAGGAAGAGTCAAATGATACAGTAAACTTCATTGTTGTCTTATTTTAAGAAACTGACAAAGCCACCCTAACCTTCAGCAACCACCACCCTGATCAGTCAGCAGCCATCAACATTGAGGTAGGACTCCCCACCAGCAAAAGGATTATAACTCACTGAAGGCTCACATGATTGTTACCTTTTTTTAATCAATAAAGTGTTTTTTAATTAGGATATGTACATTTTTTGACATGATGCTATTGCATATTTTATAGACTACAGTATAGTGTAAACATAACTTGTATATGCACTGGGAAAACAAACATTTCTAGTCACTTGCTTTATTGCACCATTTTCTTTATTGCAGTGGTCTCAAACCTCTGGAAACTGAAACCACAACGTTCCCAATGTATACCTACATTTACCTATCATTATAATTCTTTCAACTGAATTAAAACAATTCCCTGTCATTATTTGCCCACTCTTAGGAAACATTAACTGTAATATCACAAATTTGATGTGTTAGTTTTTTTTCTTACTATAACACATTAAGACACAACTACTGACATTTTTAAAATGGTTATCCACATGAAACGTAAAATCATGCTAATGGCTCCTATGCCACTCCAGAGAATTATACTCCAGACTCATTCTTCTTCTTGACTTTGCTTGGATTAATAGAATCAACTTTTTCCTATAATAAGGACTCAGTTTATCTCGCTTTCTTTTTCCCATCTCTCTTGATTTCTCTCAGCCACATGTTTAACTTTCTTTCTATTACTGCTCTGCCAGAATTTAGGCCTCTGTTACCTAAAACCTAAGATATGGAATTTCTGGTGCGCTAAGGCCCCACCTTAATTCCCTCCATTCATACTAACTGAGCACTTGGCCAAACAATTGTCAGAAGCCACAGTTGTGAAGATAATAGCCTTTTTCTGACCCCGGAGCATCTTACAATTTAGTGAAGGACTCATTCTCAAACAGTTATTCACTTAGAACTCAGAGTAAATACTCAAATGTCTGAGAGCTTAAGAGAGACATCATAGTTTTCTGATGAGTGTTCAGAGTCCAAAGATTAGGCTGGAGTTTTCTAGACAAAGAACAACTAAGGAGTGGAGGAAATATCAGTAGATTTGAACGTTTGCAATTGTTGATGCCTTCATTTGATGTTTGAGGACGACAGAGGCTCTGAGACATGCCTGAGGTTACCCCAGCTCGTTGCAGTGATACTAATTATACTTTTGGTCATGGCTTCCTCAGCCTCCATTCCTCCCAGCAAGAGCTTGTTTTGAATTAAGGTAGACAAAAACAAACAAACGTCATTTGGTAAAATCAGTCTTTCCTTCCACCTGTCCTATCTTTCCCTCATCTTTCCTCCTTCTTTTTCTCCTCTTTCTTCCTTCCTTTCCTCCTTATAAATATCAAGTAAAAAACACTGGGCCAGGAGCGGCCCAGCACTTTGTAATCCCCTGTAATCCCAGCACTTTGGGAAGCTGAAGCAGGTAGATCACCTGAGGTCAGGAGTTCGAGACCAGCCTGGCTTACATGCTGAAATCCTGTCCGTACTAAAAATACAAAAATTAGTCAGGGATGGTGGTGGTGCCTATAATCCCAGCTGCTCAGGAGCCTGAGGCAAATCTATCCAACAATTTGTCCAGTGTAAATTCTTTGAAATACAGATTTGCAATAGTTACCTTTGTATCTGGTGATAAGTAAAATCAGAAATATACCATATTTTATCAACTTTAAAATGTAGTGAATTTTATGATACAACATCACTTTGTGTACTACTGAGAGAGAAAACAATCACACAGCTATCATGAGACTAATTCCAGAGTGCTAACGTATGCAAGAATATTAATTTTGGAATTGATAACACAGTATTTTGAGATTTTAGAAATTCATCTGTGAACTTCTTCTTTTCTTGAGATACAAGAAAAGAAAAGATACATTTGGATATCACAAACATTTGCCCTTTTAAATTATACAATTCACTGGTTTTACAATATTCAGAAGGTTGTACAATATTCAGAAGGTTGTACAACCATCAACCTCTCATCACTCTTCTCCCCCAAATCCCATACCTATTATCAGTCATTCCCCATTTTCCCCTTCCCTCCACCCCTTAGCCACCACTAATCTATTTTCTGTCTCTGTGGTTTCTGTGTATTCTGGACATTTTATTTATATATATATACATATATATATATATGTATATATGGACTCATACAGTATGTGGCCTTTTCTGAATGGTTTCTTTCATTTACATAATGTATCAGAGTTCAACTATGTCGTGGCATCCCTCCATGTATTTTTGAGGTCTTCATTATCAATGCCTTCATTAAGAAATGGTCCCCATTATATTATGTTTAGAATATAATAATACATAAGATAAGATCCACCTCGGCCTCCAAAAGTGCTGGAATTACAGGCGTGAGCCACCACGCCCAGCCATAGATTTCTTAATGACCACAAATCATTAAGAAATCTGTAGCAGTCATCATCTTTACCAAACAAAAACCTTAATTCTCTTTTTACAAGGAGTTGGACTCTATGTTTCTTCTCTTTGGGCCTGGGTAGACTAACTGCTTTCAACAATACGGTATGAAGGAATTGACCCTGGGTGACTACTAAGGCTGGGTCACAGAAGACCATGCAGGCTCAGCTACCCTCTGGTCTCTTGGGGCGCTTGCTCAGGGTGGGAAGCCAGTTGCCACATAAGAAGTCTGATTATTTTAAGAATACAAAGCTGACAAAGCCACATGTAGATGCTTTGGCTGACAACACCAGCTGAGTTTCCAGCTGACAGCCAGCATCAACTGCCAGCCACCTGAGTAAACCATCTTATATGAGCAGGCCAATCAACCACAGCCCAGAAAATGTTTGACTGCAACAGTGTGAGGGATCCCAAGAGAGAACTGTCCACCTGGGTTCTTTTATAATTCATAAGCCAAAAATCATGAGCAAAATAAAACAGTTGTTTCACACCACTAAGTTTTGGGCTAACGTATTATACAGCAAGAGTTACTAGAACAAAAAAGCAGTGAAGAAAGTTGTTTTTTCTGACAATGAGCCATCCAGACCACTCAGCATCCAGCACAAATAATGGACACATTTTTATCCCACGTCCTTCATGAAAGAATGTTGACTACTATTAATATTTTCTACCCAGCTCAGACTCATTAGATTCATTAGACTCTTTGTTTATCCGGGCATGGGTTCCCTCCCTTTCCACTCCCCAAATCATGATCTCATGTGTTCTTAATGGAGTGCTAATTTATTATTTATAAATAAGTTTGAAAATATATACACAAGCATTATCCAAATCACTATTGGTTTCTTCCAACTGCTTTATGCTTATATGCCACTATTAAATAACTTGTAAACCTGCCATTGGTTTGAAATATATTAATGAAGTGTTCTTCTGTACAAATAAAAATGACTTATCTAATTCAGAAATGCTTTACTTTAGGCCTAATTATTGAAGTAATTGGTAGATAGTCTTGATAACTTGCTCAGAAAATTTTCATTCTAACCGTAAACCTTCCATAGTTTTTGGACTGAATTCTCCCTGCCATAAAATAAAAAGGCCTAAACTTCTTAAAATACAGATCCCCTATTACATGGGGCCACCTAGGTTTCCCCATCTATCATTTCCCTTCAGACACCCTCTGTGCCAGTCTAAGCATAATGCTGATATATGGCATTATATATAGTCACTTATTAAAATGAAATTCCACATGTGGAAAAGTTTCCTCATCATGTTTATAGAATTAGGACTTATAGATTTCCTATTCTGCAAAATTTTTCATAAATTCTCAGCAATAAATAATGTATTCCTCCTTGGAAATACAGAACCACTCTTAGTCTATGTGACTTCCTCTCTCTTGCGTTATTATTATCATGGTATCTACCTTACATAAATAGTTTTCCCAAGAGCTTTCCTGGACTAGATGATTAGCAAATGCCACTGAGGAAAATCACAGAAGAATAAATAAATAAATAAATAAGAATATATATATATATATAATATATATATGAAATGTATAGTTTTGTCATTTTCCTTGAGAAAAGTCAACATGTTCTTGAAACGTTCATCAAGAATTGGAGTATAGATTTGTAATATGTAATAACTTTATAAATTTAACCATTTAACTTCATGTGAAAAGATACTTCTTGTGCTAAATTGATCTATTTCATGAGCTAGTTAAAATATCATGTCTGAAAAAGGTACATTCATCTTTTACTTAAGGAGAGTTGAATTGAATCATGAACTCCTTGATGATACATCAGTTTTAAGTGGTTTTGATCACATCTCAGAGCCTTTGCACAGGATATGCACTGTGCTGAACAGTCTTGACCACAGTATTTGATTACACGATGTATACTCTTTTTGGGGCATCCTCTCAAAAGGCCTTCTCTGACCACTTTAAGTACCTGTCCTTTCTGTTTTCTGTAATAACATCTTATTAGTTTCCTTCGAAGTACATTTCCAAATTGTTACTTTTCTTTTTCTTTTCTTTCTTTCTTTCTTTCTTTCTTTCTTTCTTTCTTTCTTTCTTTCTTTCTTTCTTTCTGTCTCTCTCTCTCTCTCTCTCTCTCTCTCTCTCTCTCTCGATGTAGTCTTGCTCTGTCACACAGGCTGGAGTGCAGTGGTGTGATCTTAGCTCACCTCAAGCAATTCTCCTGCCTCAGCCTCCTGAGTAGCTGGCACTAGAGGCACGCACCATCATGCCTGACTAATTTTTGTATTTTTAGTAGAGACAGGGTTTCACCATGTTGGCCAGGCTGGTCTTGAACTCCTGACCTCATGATCCACCTGCCTTGGCCTCCCAAAGTGCTGGGATTATAGGCATGAGCCACCACACCCGGCCTATATTTTTCTATTTTAACATGTAAACTTCATGAGGAGAGGGATCTAATGTCTTTCATTCTCCACTGAATGTCTAGCTCCATTCAGATTGCCTGGCAGAGTGAGCGTTCAGTATACAGTAGTCATAAAAGCAAAATAACAGTGATCAGCTGTCCACCCACGCACATCTAGGGTTGACATAAATCCATCTGTAAGCTAAACTAAGCACAGTAAGGCATTATTTTGTGTGTCTTTATTCTCTTCACACCTTCTTTATGAGGGACAAAGTCATTTTCCCATTTGACAGAAGAGTTAACTACCACACAGAGGTTCCTTAACTTTTACACAATCACAAATTCATAAGTGATAGAGTTGAGGTTTGAACTCAAGATTATCTGATTCAAAAACCCAATCTTATCACCACTTTGCCCTTCCATTTAGAGTAGGTTACTTCTGTATCCCACCCATGGTTTACATATTCCAAAAAGAGAATTCCTGTTGAAGGCAATTTAAGGATGAGAAAGGCTAACACCTTTAAAAAAACATTATATGGTAACAGTTCATACCTGTAGGATTCCAATTTTAATTGTTCTCTTCTGTGTCTCATTTATGTCTAATGATGGATCCTAATCTCTATTAGGTCTGCTCTCCCCATGTTATTTCTTATTGTGATCTTCTAAAATTGAAGCAGGATCAAAATAAAAGACACTGGAAAAAAAATAAAATAAAAAGACACTGGAATGGTGGGGGCGGGGGTGGGTGGTTCTTACAAAAGGTTATTTACTGGGGAAAGTAGAACAAGAAAAAAAATAAGAGGATTTATAGACACCCTGGATATGAAAATAATAAAAAGAATAGTAATGATGATAAGAAGATTCCAATTTGAATCTTCTGGAAGTCTGGAAATGAAAGGTCCCTAAAAATAAATTACATCCTAGAGAATAGTCGTAACAGAAAATAATTCAATTTTGTCTTTGGATAGAGGAAAACGGTACCTGTCTCAATGTACAAAAGACCTAGTTTCTAAGTCAACAAGCTCCCAAGCTCATGGGATTAGACAATTTTTATGTACTCAAAATATTAATAAGAAAAAAAATCCTCAGGAGTCAGAATGTAGTATTCTATCACTTTCTCTGACTGAAGTCACATTACCTCCCTGCAACTCAGTTTCTTTGTCTGTAAATTGGGCAATCGATATCTGCATTACCCAAGTTCCAGTGTTATTGCTGGGCTTCAAGCACATAATGCAAGGCAAGGTGTGAAACCTTTAAGAGTCTGAGCTTTTGAGGTAGAATTGAGAAGTGACTGAAGGAGAAGACATGATTAACACAAGATCTGCATTTCCATGAACTTTCAGTGGAACCAGGGTCATTTAACTTTCCCAGGCCAGTCTTTTTCTCCCTCACTGGTTTGTCTAATGGCCTACCTGAAAGTGCTCTGAAGGCAACAATGTGCTGTAGAGATATGAGGTATTATCATTGTTGTTGCTGTTTAAATTATTTCCCATAAGTTCTATGATTAATTTATCAGAGAATTTAGTTATGTCCCACGAACAATGGAAAAGATGTGTCCTCAGCTGCAATTATCCCAAGTCTCCTAATACTTTCATATGTGAATCAGCAATATAATTGCTATGCAGAAAATTAAAGTAGGCTTAACATCTAAGTCATCCAGTCCCCTTTATAATGAATTGTTCATACTTCTTCCTGCTTATCAATCACTTTAACTCTTGTGACAGGCTGTCCTAAATTACTGATGCTGTTTGAGGCATCATCTTGACCTTCTATCTCCATGCCTTTTGACAATATTGACCTTGATATTAGCAGCAATGGAGCAATGCAAATTGTTTTTAATGTACCATATTCCAGAGCTAATGGTTGGACAAAATTAGAAAAAAAAATGATTCAAGCAAATCAATTCAAATCTGAGAGAAAAACTTTCTCAAACCTAGTTCTGTAAGTTAACTTGCCAATCTACTCAGGGTCCAATCATTTGCGAAATATTTTAATAATCTTTCTAAGCAAAAAGAATGAGATCACTCCAGGCTAGGCGCTGTGGCTCACGCCTGTAATCCCAGCACTTTGGGAGGCTGAGGCGGGTGGATCACCTGAGGTCAGAAGTTTGAGACCAGTCTGGCCGACATGGCAAAATTCCGTTTCTACTAAAAATACAAAAATTAGCCAGGTGGGGTGATGCACACCTGTAGTCCCTGCTACTCAGGTGTGCATCAGGAGGTTGAGGCATGAGAATCACTTGAACCCAGGAGGGGGAGGTTGCAGTGAGCCAAGATCATGCCACTGCACACTCCAGCCTGGGCTACAGAGCGAGACTCCATTTCAAAAAAAAAAAAAACAAACTACTGAGATCATTCCAAAGATAGAAAAGGTACTTTCATGAACAATCTCTGTCATGCCATTAACACGTGATCTCTTCCTACTCTACCCTTCACTCACTTTGTTCCAGCCACCATGGCCATTCTTGAGGTTCTCAGGCAAAGCATGCCACTCTCAGCACAGGGTCTTTGCAAGGGCTGCTCTCCCTTAGATGCGCTTGCCCCTGGTATGCACACATCCTTCTAATTCACTCTCTTCCTTCAAACATCACCTTCACATATCTAATATAATATGTGACTTGCCAAGAGAGGCCTCGTTCGACCACTTTTCTGAGGTCTTTTTCACTTTGTTTAGTACCCTCATTGTCCTCAACCACACACCATCCCAATTTCCTTTGGAGCACTCCTTCATTTGTTCCAAATATTCATCAGAACAGAAATTGTGGATCATTCTCTCACCACTCTAGACCCAGCTCCTAACTCAGTGCAGCAGGGACTTAAGCGGTTGGATGAGTGAAAGATTTAATCCACTCATCCTCAGCAAGTCTTTGTAAAGCACTCTCGCTCTACCAGAACCTGTGCTCCATGCTGACAGGGAAAAAAATGGCAAAATGAGGAGTATGTCATAATCTCAAGGTGCTCTCAGACCAGCTAATGGCATTTAATGCAAAAATGGGTGTCCTTTCTGTTTACAACCATGTTCATTATAGCGCATTAACTCAGACCCCATAAGATTAACTGTAATAGACTCCAGTTATGACATGTGGCATCCTAACTTTGAAAATTACTAATCCCTTAGCAAATATACAGAAATAACTATCTCAGAAATATTTTCCCATAACTTAGGAAAGCTTTTATGTAGTAAAATGTCTCTCTATTTATTACCCATTCATCCTTCATTCATTCATTCAATCATTCATTCAGCAAATAAGGTACAATATAATGATTGAGATAGCAAGATTTGGAGTGAGAAAATGTGGTTCTAAATCGCAGCTTCTCTATTTAGTCATGTAACTTTGGCAAGGCTGTGCCTCACATGGACTGGCTGTAAAATTGGATAATAATAGAAGTGAGACATTAGGTGAGGTTAAATTAGAACCTCATAGTCCCAGCAGACACTAGCCCCTGAACAGCTGCATCCTACCCAGGCTTCTTACTAAGGTCGTCTTGGGGTGGCACAGTACCGTGCTACCCTTTGCAGTCCAATGAGTACCAAGAAAAACCATCCCGAAGGGGTGAGCAATGCAGTCTTACACAGGTTTGTGAATTTGAATGACCCAAGTCTTCCTAGTCTGTATTCAGATTAACCATTTATACTAAGGTTTGAATGCCTTCTCCCTAATTGTGATAAATACTTGGAAAGAATAAAAACCTAAAATGTCAGAAAGCAAACAGTCTTGAGCATGAATGGCAGAGCTCACTTTCAGCCTAGAAGTTAGTATAATTCCAATATCTAAACCTTTAACCTCACAACTTAGGTCAGCAAACCTCAAGTTACAAAATTCCATAAATAATTCAGGGCATACAAAATTGTTTTTCATATATTAGTTCACTTTTAACCCCCCAAAAAATTTGTTGAGGTTGAGGGTTTTCCCATTTTACAGATGGGAAAACTACGACCTAGAGATTTGGAATTGTATGTCCAAAGTCATATTATTGATAAGATATAGAAATGAGCCCAGAAGGCAGGTCTGATAAAGGAGAGTTCATACCCCTCTCTGCCATTGTCCCTCTATTTCTAAATAAGCAAAAGCAAGCACTCGACAAAGAATTCTGCACCCTCTTAAGTGTTTTCAATTCTAGAAATATCCCCAGGAGGAAGAACCATATGAAAACTTAGAGGCTGCTATTTTTCTTTCAAACTATCTTTATTTTATATCAAAAGCTCATGTTTTAAATCATGTGCATTAAAATAGATGTCATTGGGGAAAATGTTTAAATTTCAAGATTCAAAAGTGATTTTGAAATATGTATGCCCTTTTCAAGCTGAGGAAGAAGAGTGACACATAATCTATAAATTATAGTGGAATATTGTTAATTCTAAGGAAAATCTGGAAGGGCTGTTGCCAATTAATGAATCTTGCAAATAATTAAATGACACAAAATGTTGGCTAAAGGGCAGTTTCTCTGAGTGGGGGAGGAGTGTGTATTTTTTTGCTGCTGAAGACAAGATGCGGATGACAATCTGGACCCTATTCCCGAAGACTGTGAAAGGATTTACAAGGTTTGAATGATGGGATGCTCAAATGAATAGAGTGTTCACTGAGAAAATAGAGTCAATATTTCATCATTAAGTCAATGCTTTTATGAAGTCCCATGGAAGCTCCTCTGGAAATAATTACCTAGCATGAAGGCTTCCTTGTGTCTTCACGTGTTTCAGACAAGAAGGCATGTCACGTCTTTTCTGTGGTTGTACATTACTCATTCTTGACCTCATCCTAGGAAAGTTATTTTTGCAAAGATCACATAGATTCCTTTAAATTACAACAGCTATGAACAACAGTTGCTTTGAGTAAGCTATCTTTTTAAAAAAAGTTAAAAACTCAATTATTGAGATACATTTCAGCTGTCATTTCTGTCAAAATCAAAAGCAAAAATGAGAAAGAGGATCTCACAGAAAATAACTTGGGACCAAATCCAAAAACACAGTGATCAATTTTTGCTGGAATGATGTCTTCAGTGTCTTTACCAGCAGGTACACACACTCACACACGCACAGGCACCCACATAGACGTATTTGAATCTAATTCTGAATGCCAAATAATAACTAAAAGTTTTATTGATTTCTTTTAAAATTTAGGTAAAAGAGGATATTATAAAAAGATTCAGGTTAGTGATACTGAAAGAATTCACTGCACAATTCACAGGCTGTCCCTGGAAAGATGAAGAAGGAAATAAATGAGTAAAAAAATTCTCACATAGTAAATATGACTTAAAGTTCTAAAGTCGTACCATCTGGCCTGTTATACTGTGTGGGTCAGTCTGTACCTGAGGAACCTGCTTGAGCAACAGCTGAAAATAAATAAACAAACACCAAATAAAAACAACTTCTTTGGTTAGAAAAGGAGAAAAGCTTGTTTTTTCCCCCAAACTCAACCTTCTGATTACTAACTAGGCACAGCTATAGACATGACTTTATTTTCTTCTTGGCCTGAAATTTCAGAAGGTTCATGGCTGAATATTGTGGTTAACAGAAGTGACATTCTATTTGGGGAATCATAACTACCAGCACCCTTATTTCTATGACTATTTATTCTTAATAAATAGTATTCTTAATTAATGTACAGCTTCTCAGTGGCTTCTTTAAAATAGATATGCCTCTTATGATAACATAAGAGGCTAAATATTTATAATCAGAAGATTTCAAATGCTTTCTTTCTAAAGATGTTTCTTAGAAAATGTCAACATAAATAAAATCAAATTTAATAATGAGGTTTTATCATAGAAACCTAATTTGATTAATTACTGTTGATATTTCTCAATATCAGTTGGATTTTATACTAATTTTATTGCATATAAACTTTGTTTTAAATAACTGAGTAAAGCCAATAAAGCAATAGAACATCATCTTACAAACTTCTAGGTGCTCTCATATTTTTATTTTCTATGACTTTAAATTAATTACGATATCTGATTTTCCAAATTAATGCCAAATAAAAACTTTATAAATCTTAAGAAAATGAGGTTGAATTACTAAAGGCAAATATCAAAAGCAATTTAATTCAAATAAAACTGAAATAAGAACATCAAATAATTCAAATGAATTATTTTTGTGAATTGACAAGATCTAGGGCCCTAGGTATTCTAAGATCAAGAATTCCATAGCCCCTATTATTAAAAATTTTACTAACAAGTAGAGAAGCAAATCAATAAGCTACTCTAAGTGTCCTATATCCGGGTGCCCCTCATGTAAGAGAAGGGAAGAGAAAATACTGTGTGATCTACATGATCTGTGGAATCAAAGTACATTCAAAATACCAAGCTGTCCTGTGATCCTGCCTCATACTGTATAGAATCTGTGCATACTTCTCTCTATCTAGAAGCAAAAGATAGATATCAAAATATATGTATATGTGTGTGTCTATATATAATGTGTGTGTGAATATACACATACATATTCATATATACATATAATTTATATACATACATTATATATAGCTACACACCCATATACATGTGTATGTATAAATTTTGTATATTATAGATTTATATTGCATATGTATACAATATAACATATATAAATACATGCACATATACATTCTTATGTGTTTATGTGTAAAATCTTCTTCAGTCTTCTAGGTTTAGCTTACCAGACACCTCTTTTTGGGAATCATCCTCATTTATCCATTTGGAATTACTCATAGATATTCTGCATTCCAGGAAGCCCTGAGTGGCAGAGACGGTGGTGGAATTCTTTGCCTCTGTCTGAGAGTGTGTTGCCATTAGTACTGAGTCTCATAGTCATCCTTGTGCACATCTCATTCTCCCCACTAAGCTGAATTGCCAAACCCAAGGAAGAGATAGCACAGGGTGGCAAGATGCACTTGCAATTTTGAACTAAACAAATAACAGTTTGATCTTTTCTCCACTGAGAGTCAATCTGGGCCAGGCATGGTGGCTCATGCTGGTTAATTCCAGTACTTTGGCAGCCTGAGGCAGCAGGATGGCTTGAGCTCAGCAGTTTCAGGCCAGCTTGGGCAACATAGCAAGACCTCATCTCTATTAAAAATAAAATTAAAAAAAATTAGCCAGGTGTGGTGGTGCATGCCTATTGTCCTAGCTACTCAGGAGGCTGAGGAGGGAGAATCACCTGAGCCCAGGAGTTTGAGGTTGCAGTGAATTATGATCACACCACTGCACTCCAGACTGGGCAACAGAGCAAGACTCTGTCTCAAAAAAAAAAAAAAAGAATCTGCCTCATGTACTTGACCGAGTTACTTCACCTCTCAACCCCAGCTTTTCTGTTTGATCCATGGATCAGCAGCATGTGTGTCATCTGAAGCTTGTTAAAAACAGAGAACCTCAGGTTCTACCTAGACCTAGTGAATCTGAAGCTGCATTTTAACAAGATCAGTAGTTTATTTGTATGTAGATAAAATTTTGAGAAGCACAGTTCTTAGGAACCATTCATATTCTCACCTATGCAATTTAAATAACAGTAGCCAACACCCAGGGATGCTGAGAGGATAAAATATACATCTAGTGCTTAGCCCAGGTCCTTCTGCGTGGTGTGTGGTTGATAAGTGGTAGTATTTTCAGATTTTATTACTAACATTACTGACAATGCTGTTTATTACTAGATAATTTTATCACTTAAATTCTCTGAACTGCATCTCTAAAAGTGGGATAATTATATATGTTATCTATGCTTTGCTTTCTTTTTCTAGCGATTAAATTATTTAATATCTGTAAACGATCAGATATAGTGTTTGCTCACTGCTAGTTATCTTCTCCCATTCATCTCCCTTAAGGGCAGACATCAATTTGAAGGCTTTCAGAGAGCAGGTATTTGTTGAATGGCATAGAAGTACAACAGAGGAGTTTTAGATGCCTCCATAATCCTATTTCTGTAGATAAATTTATATATTTCCAAATGCTAAATTAAATAAAGGAAACAATTAGCAAATGCCTATGTGCCAACAACCATGTTGATGATTTGTCTGTGATTCTGCTTTGGCTCATATAAATCTCCACTCTCAATGCCTTGCTGTTATAGATTGCATATTTGTGTCCCCTCAAAATTAATATGTTGAAACTCTAACCCCCAATTAGATGGTACTAAGAGGCGAAGCTTTTGTGGGTAAACCCCCTATGATAGGATTAGTGTCTTTTTAAGAAGAGGAAGGGATTTAGACATTTATCTTTCTGCCCAGTGAAGACACAACTAGAAGTTGGCAGTCTGCAACCTGGAGGAGGACCCTCACCAGAACCAGGCCATGTAGGCACCCTGATCTCAGGGATCCACTCTCCAGAACTGTGAGAAATAAATTTCTATTGTTCATCAACTACCCAATGCATAATATTCTGAGATAGCAGCTCGAACTAAGACACTTGCCTATTGATACTCCTAGTATGGGAAATACAACAGTTTCTGCTGTTGAGTTTCAGAATAGCTAAATTTTCTTCTGACATCTTAAGAAAGATATTTTGTATTATACTTTTATTTATTTACATGTGCCCTGGGTTTGAGTTGGTGTAATTCCCTTCTATTTGGTACGTCTAGAACAAATAAAAAAATTATCCTGTCTTTCATCATAGCAGTAGTCATTTTGGTCTTTTATGTTTCTTTGCTTATTAGGTGAATGTACTTTTTCAATGAAAAATATTTGTTAATTATCATGATTCTAATTTAACTAAAAAGGAGGCATGTATTCCAGATAGTACAATGAATAACTGTGCTAAGAATAAATGGCAGCCACAGTCAGCAATGTCAAAATTAACTATCACTTGTCATAGTCTCAGAAATTGTAGAAGTTGTTAAAGCATATTTCAATACAGTCTTGCATTAAATCCTTTGGAAATACTCTAAGCAATTGGTGTATCCTGCTTCCTTCTGTACTTAAGTGGGGGTGAGAAACTTGCAGTAGGAGGAATGCCTTCATCAAGTCGGAAAAGCAGCTCAAGCTGATTCCTTCTGCCTCATTTCCAGGGCATCATGGCAGGTCCTGAAGCCCAGGAATGATCACTGGCGGAATTTTTGGTACTACCATAGGTTTGCTTCTCTATATTATGTACTCAAATTCCACTCACCCTTGCTTTGCTATAAATGTGCACATTTCTTGGGCCTTTTGGAAGTGACTTTTACCTTTCCCGTTTTCTGAAGCACATGTTAAAATGTCGGTTTGTTTACTTACTATGCCTAAATTCAACTGGGGAAACAAAAGAACTTGTTAACCTCTTACTGATTTCACCGTTGCCAGGCACACACTCATACTCTCTCTCTCTCTCTCTCACACACACACACACACACACACACACACACACACATACACGAAGCCAAGATGACTAGAAGATCCCAGTTGGAACCAAAGTTGTTTGATCTCACTTGTTCAAATTAGCTTAGCCCTCTTCAAAACTCCTTTTAAAATTTGGGAGAGGCTATATTGACCTAACAAAAGGTATTGAAAAACAAGCCCTGGGTTTTCAGTAACCTTCCTAGATTGTAATCACTTCCCTTCATTCCAAAACCTCTCTCTTTCTCTTGCTGTCCACAGCTGACCTGTTAGCTCCTATTTGGTTTCTCTCCCCATAGTCTAGCTCTTTCACAGGACTACTGCTGCTGAGTCTGGCCTTGGCTTTCCCACTTCCCTTGATTCTGTTAGTTCTAAGATCCAAGGGCCACTCCAGCGAGCCCTGCAAGCCTAGCCCAAGCCCTGGGTGTCTGGCACTCTGACTGTTGCATAGATTAGATGCCATTGCCTAAAGGAGAGTTTCAGAGAGAGTCTAACCTAGTGATTGACAGGTCAGAACTGGGCTACTCTCCTTGCATACACTGTAAGTGCTCAAAGACAGACTGCCCTTTGTGGGTGAGAAAAACAGCAGATGCCCCCAAAGCCAGCAGCAGGAGGTCTTCCTTGACCTTTCTTTGCCCCTCTCTCAGGAGGCAGCTGGTATTTGCCTTTTACTCGCTGGGATAAGATGGCTCTCATTAAACGTCTGAAAGATAGTTTAGAGGAGACAACAGTTACTCTTTTCTCTTTGTGAAGAGGGATGTTATCTATCTTAAAAAGAAAAATATTGGTTTAGCCTCCTTACCACATATTTCCTGGGAGAGTATGGTATTTTGCCCTTTTGCATTACAAAGTGTCCTTGTAAAAAATAAGGTAACAAATTCATTTTTGACAGGCATTTAAAACCCTGGCATTTAGAAGCTGGCCAGTGGCTTTTGCACTGACTCTAGATTAGAAATGTCTAAAAGATACTGAATGGGACAAGCAGAAATTGTCATGAGTTAATATTGTCACAATGATACATATTCAGATCATTTCTTCCTAATTGGCTCACTATGTTTAATTTTATTTCTTGCTTAGACAAACCATGTTCTCACTATGAAATGCAAATGTTTCCTTTCCTTACAAGATGAGTTTGCTTTTCAATGTATACATTTTGTATTCTAAATAATAATTCAACTTCAAGATTATCCACATAATTTGGGAGCACCTTTTTCTTCCCGATGAGCATTCTAAACCAGGCATGAGGTCTGGCAAACCAGATTATACAATATTAGCATTAAAAGTTCCAGGCTGTGGAGGCAATAGTCTTAGGAGTCTAGACATTTGCAAGAAGAGAACAGACACCCTGAGAAAAGTAAGGAGGCCAAAGGGAGACCATTTCCTTCCAAGATGGGCAAATTACTATCTGAAAACTCCCAGAGGGACACCAATTGCCCCATGCTGGGGAGAAGGATGACAGACACAACAGGAAGGCACAAAGCTCACAGGAGAGGCAGTTCTCCTGACATTGGAGACTCACAGAAAGACAAGAATGAGAAAAGTTACAGAGCCTGTGATTTGGAAACAGAGACTACAGATTCTAAAGGGTTGATAACAGATTCTAAGGGGTTGATAGCAAATTCTTTAAGTGACCATATCCAGCAGCTATAAAGCATTGCTATTACCTTTATAGGAAAAAAGACTTAGAAATCCATAGTTTAACCACATGCACACACACACACACAGAGTGAGAGAGGGACAAATAAATATGGTCAGTCCTCACTGAGCACAGTTTAATTAAATAACACCAGTCACCCAACAACACAGTTCAAATTTAAGTTACTCCATTACCTTAATTGCAAGTAATTACATAAGCTACAAACTTCTTTGCTAGCTCTTCAGTCAACAAATCACTATGTAAATAACAGATTCATGACCAATGACCAATCACATCACTTCTTTCTAAGTCAGTCAGCGATTGGTTGCTGTGCATATATTTGTTCATGAGTAGACGGCAAGTGTGTAGCTGTGTTGCCCCCTTTTCCCCCAGGGATAAACTCATTTATCAAATGGACAATTGAAAAAGGGAACTGGTCAATAAAGATGAAAGAACAACAAAGAAACAAAGAGTAATAAATCTGGAAGTGGAATTTGAATTAAATGTAAATGAAATTATAGGAGCACTAGGTGACCTTGGAAATATTGGCACTTCTGCCATTTGGGAGCTTCCATTATGCAGCTAGAGGAACTTAGTAAAGGGAAAGTTATTGATATAAATATGGAAAGTGGTAGTGACAAGAAGGATGAAAAAAAATGTTCCAGAGGCAGCGAGGGAGGACAGCAAAAAAATCTTCACATTAAGAAAACTCTTGGGGATATTTCACACCATGAAAATCTCAAAAGGATAAGATATTGGAAACTCATCCAGTCTTTGAAAGGAGTATGGCAATTTGCCAAGGCTTAAAAAACTCATTCCCTCCATACTACAGATTACATAACCATGAGAAAAAGCCAAGCCCTGTTCAAACCGCTCCTGATAAGATTTTAATAAAGAAATAAAATACTTAAATTCTTAATGTTTCTAGTATCTTAAATTACATTTTACTAAATAAATATTAGTCTTTCTATTTTTTTATTTCTCTATATCTAATGGTAAGAGCATTTTCAATGTTTTGACAAAAATGTTTAAAGGTCATGGGGCAATAATAATTTCTCCTATTTATTATTAAAATCACATTGCACTGACTCAGCTTTAATTGGTCATGTTTACATTCCCACATGACTGTGGAAAGCAACAGTGCCTGGATTCATAAGTGGATGAATGGGTGGATAGATGGATGGATGGGTGGATGAGTGGATGGATGATGAATGGATGGATGATGGATGGATGGATAAATGGATAGATGGATGGATGAATGATGGAAGGATGAGTAGATGATAAGATAGACAGATATATAATGCCATATTGTCTATAATTTACTTTAAAAGACTTCGGCCTAGATCAGATAAACTATAAGTCCATATTATTTATTCTGGTTTTACACAACTAGGATAAAGGTATTATCCCAGCTGTGTGTACCTGACATATGGACAGTCTACTAAGGGAGGGATCTATCCCTGAATTTCAATCAGGTGAGCAGAATCCTGCCCTGATCATATTTTCACATCTGCAATGTGCTTGGTGGAGTGCCTGAAAGAATTGGTTGTATAATTTTCTGTGTGCTTACTTGCTGGTATGTGTTGGTATATATGTACGTCAATTAACTATTACCACAATAACGTGCAACAAGCTTGATATATCAGTGACCTACACCATATTTCCCATGACTTAGGGAATTGTGGGCTAGCTGAATTTCAGCTGATCTTGCATTTACGCGTTGTACTTTGAGGGTCTCATTTCAATGAATTGGCAGCAGCTATCTGGCATACGTTCTTCTCATGGTGGTGACAGAAACTGAGAAAGCAATTCCAATTCATGAGCCCATTTCAGGCCTCTACTTCCAATTATCTGCAGACTCCCCATTGACCAAAGCAAGTTACACATCTGAACCCCAAATCAAAAAGTGGGGAAATTGTGGACCCACTATGAAGCATGGCTAGGTTGTGCTTAATACTACTGGGAAGGGATGAATTGAGACCGATAATTCATTCCACAGCAGCACAGAAGAGTTCAAGCTAAGACTTACTTCCATTGTAATGTAACACCTGGCAGTTGCAAAGCTGTGGGAGAGAGGACCTCAGGTCCTCATCTACCACTATGAAGGCTACTGTGGAGAGTCAAAATAACCTATTAATTATGACAAACCACATTAATTAAAATCAATTTGTAACGGATGGTTTGAATGCTGTCATTCTAAAATTAGATATTCTCTGTATTTTACTAATGGTTTTAATAAAATACTGCTGATATGAAAATTAAATAAAAATAGAAGATTGGCTGGGTGTTTTAGCCAAATGCCATTTCAGAAGCTCTGTTGCTTTTCCCTAGCTCTGTGCACCAAGTGGTGTTTGAGGAACCACAGCAAAGAAGAGAGTAGAAATGGAAAAAAGAGCCCATTCCATAAATTTCTCACTATCCCAGACTGTGGATGTCTCACCCTCTAAATGGGAATCAGGCCCACAGTGAGTTTGCTTCCTGATTTGTTCCTCCTGTGTCTACCCATTATCTGCCCAAGCTATTACATGAGGGAGCTTTGCTTTGGCAGCCTGCCTAGGGAGGAGGCTGGGCACATCTCAAGCCTCGCGGGTGCCCGCTCATCGTAGTCCTGCTTTGTAAATGTGCTCCTGCATCTGTTCCTTAGAGGACTGGAGAGCATGCCAAGCAGAGTGTGACATGAGAGAGGAAGAAGAAGCCCCCTCACGCTCAACCCAAAGGGAAATGCTCTGTTTAGGCTTCCTGTTAGCTCTGTGTCTGCCAGCATGTTGGAGAAATAGCACAGTGTGATGTTATGGAGGGGGACCTGGGCTCAGAGACACAACTGGAGACAAAGCATACTAAATAGCAATACACAGCCTATACACTGCATTAGGATTTGTATGGGAGTGTGTAGGTGCAATTATACATAGGATATTGGAATAAAAAGGTGAATAATCACTTGGCAGGCACATGGAAGAATCTCTGACCACACAAAATACCCTCTGCATACAATAAAGGGAATAAAACAGTTCCAAATATGAATTATCATAGAGTGCACAGGTACCAGCAGGACAGTAAGTGGATCCCTAACAGGAGCTTGCTGATGACCATTCCATTATTCTTTTAATAAGCACTTATGAAAACTGACCAGGGGCCCACATCTACGCCAGGAGCAGAGGTCTAGTTGCCATGCATATGCTGCTCCTCTAGAGGTCTACTCTTGGTAGTAGGAGTGAATCGAACAGCTGACTCACTTATGTTTCTGGTGATATGATTATTCTAGTTTATCCTTCCAGATAGCACATGCATTCCTAAGGGACAAAATGAAGATGGGTTCAAACACAGCTCTCTATTTCCTTATCCTCAGCATGGCAGATTCCTAACTTCCTTACAGTATTTCATTCCCTCCTGGCAATGACTTCTGTTGTTCTCTTTCCAGGACTTTAATCCTTTCTGTCAGTCAGTCCATGTCAATCAGTCATATTGGAACAGCCTAATGCTAACTGTACACAGAGCTGAGTCTTTCCCACAGGGCTCCTTCCTGGACCCCATGCAAATTACGGATGCACCTGTCTCCTCGGTCTTTGAAAGTGAGATGAGAAGTCAGAGCCACACAGTATCCTAATCTCAGCATAATCCAATTAAGACTCATGTCTTACTTCTGTTTCAGTTTCTTTACTTCTGAGGGGTCTTCTAGGAAAACACTACTTAAGGCAACTACACAATATCCCCTCCGACTGACAGCTACACCTTTGTCTCAGTGTTGATACTTTGAATTGCCAAAGGGTCCAGAGGGGTTCTGTGATACAGGTTTGGAAGTATAGACAAACCATACTTAAGAAGTCAGAGCATTTGATCAACATTCCATTTTAACCCATTCCTGCAGAAAGGTGAGCTACTCCTGATGTCAAGGAATTATCTACAGACATTCTTCAACAAACAACTTTCTTAATCTTTCAGATTAAGAAAATGGCCATAACTGTCACTAAAATCATATGAAGCCTGCAAAAAATATATATATATATATATATGACCTCACCTCCAGCAATATGGGATTTGAACAAACACTGCAGCCTGCAGATAACACTCCTTGCAGTGTGGAGTCCATTCAGCACAGCTTTTCTTTTTCCTGGTTAGATCAATATCTCACTGATACATGTTCTGCCAGCCAAGCTATAATGCTGCATTCTTCCAGGTCTCCATAATATAAAGTGATTTAGTGCTTTCAGCTTGAAAGATATTGCAATGAACACTGTGATTTGTAAAACAAATGGGCTATTGTCCTAAATAAGTTTAAAATTACATAGACCTGAGGAAATAAGAGTTAACTAAAGTTTTAATGCTCTTAGCCTATTTTCTGCTTAGCAATTTATACAGACACATAAGCAATTCAACTCAGAAAAATGCAACAGTAATTTATCGCCAGACTCCTTCATACATAATTTCCTTAACCTAATGTACCTTTTGGCATTTATTAGTACACAAAGTCAACTTCCTACATACCCTTCTTTCATCCAAGCAACTGTCTATATATTTCCTGGACCTATAAATCATTGCATCCTAAACACTTGGTCTATCAGAAAAAAATATGCTAATTGTAGAGGACAGCATACCCTGTATTGAATGCTAGTGGCATTTTGGCATATTATTTCTCGCTTTATCACAGAAGCATGGTAGGAAATAGAAATGACGGGAGCACTACAAGCCAGAGGAATCTAGGCAATACATTGAAAAGCTGCCATCTCTTATTCTCAGTTCACATTGGTGAAGACAGCAGAGTGTGATAACAGTAGATGGGATATTTTCATTTAATCTTTTACATGTATTGGCTTTGAAATGTGAGTGGAATTCACATGGGGCAATTCTAATGCTTTTCCTAGTTTCGTGGGTTTTTTTTTTGTTTTTTTTTTTTTTTTTGCATGTGCTCGAAAGAGGATTCAACTTTGGCAGCACTACTGATGAGAATTGCTACAACCAAGAGAGAGAAAAAAGAGGCAACCTGGATGAGAATTTTAAAAGCAACTTGGTCACAATCTGAAGATTGTATGGCTGCTTTTGCAGAAGACCTGTAGGTACCTAGAAAGGGTGTGTATTATGTAAGGTCTATTTCAACTGCTGTAGTATAGAGACTGAAGGAGAGTGACTAAAAAACACACAAAAGCTTATTTCTTCCACACATATAAGT
This sequence comes from Homo sapiens, assembly GCF_000001405.40. Classification (NCBI taxonomy): domain Eukaryota; kingdom Metazoa; phylum Chordata; class Mammalia; order Primates; family Hominidae; genus Homo; species Homo sapiens. The sequence goes on along the minus strand of NC_000010.11, from coordinate 82,391,725 downwards.
CTTTAAATATGGATTGGTGAGTGGACTCATTTTTTCCCCAAAAGTTTATCCCCTTGGGCATTATCCTCATCTGCATGATTGGAAGGTGGGTCATAGTCATTCCTGTGACCACACATGGGAAGGGGAAAGACAAAGGGATTCCATGGCAAAGAGCTTTTATTTTATGTGGAAAATGCCCCCAAATTACATATATCACTCCCACTTATGTTCCGTTGGCTCTAGTTTGGCCACGTAGCTTCACTAAGTTGCAACAGAGGATAGGAAATGTGGCCAGGTGCAGAGCTGACACACTGCCTGCTGACTCTTTGTTGACATTTAAAGAGCATTTCTAAACTGATAATTTACTTTTCAAAGGTTTTTCCAGGTTCCCTTAACCCCTTATACCTCTTTTGTGTTCTTTCTGTTCTGGGCCTTCCTTTCTGGCAAGGTGGTATGAAAAGTAGCATATTCCTTCTCAGACAGAGAGGCTTTAAAAGAAGCCTCACAAAACTCTACCTCATACCCAAACCAGGGCTCTTTGAAAGTGCTCTCAAGTGTTTGATAAACAGACATGTTGAATCACTGAATTAGCTACCGGTAGCAATGTTGTCATACGTTTATGTTTAGATTTCAATCTGGCAAAATGCTTTTGAAAGGAAAATCTTTGTCACTTGAGCCAAAAGCTAAAAAATGTCCTTGTTTAGTAATTACATAGACACCCACACTATTCAAAATCTTGTTTTTCCAAAAGTACATTTGTAATCCGGAAGCCAGGGCCCAATCCACTCACTTCATCTTTACCACTACTCCCAACCCACTTCCCCCTAAACTGAATTCCACAGCCCAGGCCACATCAGAGCTGTCCCCATATTGCACAAGTGTGTCTACAGGCTCACTTCACCATGCTCTCTTCTGCCACTATGCACTTGCATTATTGATCACACTTTCTGTTTTGTCTAATTACAACCTGAATGCAAAGTTAGTCCATTTACCAGTCCTCTTCTGCAGAGAAGTAGATGAATTCCTCTTTTTATTTCCTAGAGAGTTACCATTTTTGGTCCCCTAAACTCTTGATGCTAGCTAGCTAACCTCTAGGTTAAGACAAGTAACTTTCTTCAATTAGGTGGTTCATACACCTTATTCAAACTACACATTTTTGAAAGTAAAAGAGCATTATTAATAATTATGTAGGTGTGAAAGTGTAAACAATGAGTGTCACGGGCAAATCAGATGCATAAGTAGGTCCCCCTATTTAAAGAGAATTTTCCCTAAATGATTTGTAAAGAATATACTTCTTCCTCAAGATTTACTCAAATTTCCCACCTGAGAATACTCTTTCACCTAAAACTTATGCTGGAGAATGTCAGTAAATCATTTTGAGAACAATCCACCCCAGCCCCCCCACAAAAAAACACAAACAAACTTGACTTTAACTCAAGTAAAATATGGCTTTCCCCTAAATCATATCACCTAAGCAGTGACATAGGGAAATGCCATTAAAGAAAGTAGAGGCAAAAATTTCAGAGATGGCCTTTTGAAAATGGATCACTGAGAGTCAGAAAACTTAACCACTATTAGTGGTGAAGGAATGTGACTTAAGGTAAAAAATACCACTAGTGGACAGATAGGTTTGTACTCTTGTTTTATTCCCATAAAAACGCATTGAGGTAGGTATGTTCAATTCACTACACAGACAGTAAATTGAACACCAGTGTGGTTAAGTGACTAGCTGCAGTTTTGACTGAGTGGAGATTCAAACCATGGTTTATCTGACTTGTCGGAAATAGGCCACAGTACAATAAATGGCCCAAGTAGCCGCTCTAATAGGCCTGTCACACAGCATTTCTGACAGAATTAACTTTCACAATTGAGAGTTATCATACGTGTTAATGTCAATGACTTCATAAAGTCAGACTCTACATGTGTTCTCATCTCCCTAAGACCAGCTATTGTTCTGGTACATAATGGAAACTTTTTTGAATCTATTTTAAGTCCAGAAACTACCCATATATACATGTATGAGTGTGTGTATATGTATAAAGCTATTTATTGGATATTACCTGTAATGTTGATTTCAAAATGTGTCTTCATTTTATTAATTCAGAATATTAACTTATATATTCACCAGTTACCCTCGTTTGTCTACTGCCATATAAAAAGTACACACCAATGTTTGTATTTTTTTCTTCCTGTTAAGAATAGCTAGCTGGCCGTTGAAAATATATGTGGGATACTTGTTGCTTACAGAAGTTAATCTGAGCAGAATGTTCTCTGAAGAATAAATGAGAGTAATGCATAAAGATATGAGAATGTGAAGTAAAATAAGAAAATCTCTTTTTAGCAAAGTATTTGATCTCCTGTGAATCCTAGGTAGTGAAAGGCTGAGAAAGGCATGACCTTCCACTGCAGAGCAAGGTTTACTGAGGGATTGACTTTTCAAAGTTACACTAACACAGTGATTTTTATTTACAATGATGCTATTCCTGTCAGCATGGACAAAGCAGAAATTTGCGAGTTGAATTCTGATTTGCATTCTCTCGCTCTGTCACCTGTGGCAAGTCACTTAATTACACAAAGACAAATACTTAATTTTCCTGTCTTTAAATGAAGGTTCTGATGCTCATTTTGCTTTGTGGTTAGGGGGGTGAATGCACACAAAGGTTTGTAAGAAGATGCCATCATGTGCTAACCAGTTAATGAGTAGTTCTAGTATTTTCTCCTCTCTATTCCCCAGGCTTTACAACAGTGGTTCTAGAATCTTGGTTTAAGACTAACCTGAGGATCTTTTGTAAAATGCAGATTCCCGGGCTCCTTTCCAAGGCCCACTGACTCGGCAGGTATGGGATAGAATTCGAAAATATTTATTTTAACACACTCCAGCAAATGACTTTGATGCCGATGGTATGGAGAGCTTAGTTTGTGAGACACAGCTCAGACACTCAAGCCCAAGCTGAATCAATGTTAGAAAGATGATGCCATCTTGGGGACACAGGAAGAGGTATACATTATTCCACTTTAAATAAACTTTCATTCTTACATATCTATCAATTTAGAGTCTGGATGCTCTAAGATGAAATCTTGTACTAATTCCTTTTTTACCACTGATATGATTTCTGCACTTCTTCACATATTTAGAGGCCAGGATGTTTGTTATAAATGTACACAATTCAAAGTTTACTGATTTTTAAAGAAGTATCAGCAGTCCAAATATTTACCATATTACATGATCTTAAATTAATTTTATTATTTTTAAAGGGAAATCCAGGGTTCTATAGCAAATTACCTGTCTCACATCTTGATCACAGCCACCTATTTTCCTTCTCCACTAGTCACCAATACTTCTAGTTTCTCAGATGTAATTTTAGAGATATCATTCATATATAAAATCCATACACAAGCAAATACATTCTCTTTTTACGTAAATAGTTACATTTTACCTTGGTTTCCTTTGATTTAAAATAATCTCAGCAAATGGGTCCACATTTGTTCATAAAAAAACTTTCTTATTCCCTTTTTACAGCACATTATTATATCCCACATGAGAGTCCCATAATGTTTTTTAATGAATCTCTTGTTGATGAGCAATTGTTGCCAATATTTTGTTGTTTCAGTGAAGTGATGAGTAATTGTGTTGTGGAATCATTTTTATGATACTAGGATATATGTAAGATCTAATCTTAGAAATGAAATTTCTGGGTCACAGGATCAGTACTTTTCTAATTTAGAAACAGATTGCCCTTCATTGTAGCAATTTATACTTATACATATATGTATGCTCCCACCTGCTCATCAACAACATGCTATCCAACTTTGTTCTTTGCCATTCTGACAGGTTAAAAATATATATTATCTCTGTATAAATGAAAAGGATCTGCATTCTTTCCAAAGCAAACAGAGCATTCCTCCACAGAAACAAATGTAATTTCTGGTGTTATATTAATGTTAAAATAATCCCCTTATCTTATTTTGATTTAATCATGAACTTACATTTTTAATGGAAAGTCTTTCTAGAACAAAGATGGTGGGTGAGTTCATAGCCATGGAAGTTGATGGACAGCCAATTCTGAGGTCATTGCTGATGCATGTATAGAATTAACTGTCACATTCCAATTGACTTGGTAGGAACAGCTAATTTGCATGCTAACATGAGGGTTCATCTATTAAAAGTATTAAATTTACATGTTTTCCAGCTAAAAAATGTTCAGATTTGGTCAGTCTTTCCTTTTCTTGTTTGTTAGGGTACATTCACTGGCATTCTGAAAAACAAGAATGTTATAACGCCCACAGCTGGAAGACAGGGGAAATGGTCCATGCGTCACCTAAGACAATGCCAACCAACCAGCCTGGCAGTGCCATTACATGAGTAACTGGAAATAGAAATGACAATCAAAGCAGTTGTGTGCATTCCATTCTTTCCTTGAAAATACAATTTAAGACAATGAGCGGATTGGAATTAAAAGCATATATATTTTGAGTGTTTTATGATAAAACATAAGAGGAGTTAAAACAAGCCAATATAAGTTTAAAAGTAAAAGCAGTTCTGTTTCCATTTTCCATAAGAAAAAGAAAAAAATAAAATAAAGCTAAAGCATGTAACATAATTGGCAAAAATGAAATATGACATGGTGTATTGGAAAAGCCTGTCAAGGCTGGGTGCGGTGGCTTACGCCTATAATCCCAGCACTTTGTGAGGCCAAGGCGGGCAGATCACTTGAAGTCAGGAGTTCGAGACCAACCTGGCCAACATGGTGAGATCCCATATCTACTAAAAATACAAAAATTAGCTGGGCGTGTTACTGTGTGCCTGTAAACCCAGCTACTCCAGAGGCTGAGGCAGGAGAATAGCTTGAACCCGGGAGGAGGAGGTTGCAGTGAGCTGAGATCATGCCACTGCACTCCAGCCTGGGCGACAGAGCAGGCCTCCATCTCAAAAATAAATAAATAAATAAATAAAAAGAAGAGAAAAAGAAAACCTGCCAAGACTGAACTAACTCCTGTGTTTAGAATAACAGCCTCCAAGAAGTAATTTGATAAGACATATTAGTGGGTAGTTATTTTTAATGTGTCTCTGAAAAAGTGGATCTTTCCGAGTATAAAGGAAAGTAGTAAAAATATCTTCAATATGGGTCAATCATACTTTTTCATGACCTTTGAGATTAAATGTTCGATAAGATTTCTTTAGAGAAAATGAGAAAGGAATAAGAAGAGAAGAGTTGAAAATGTTTCTATGAAGACTCTTGTCCATACCTTAATTTAAACCAAAATTAGGAATTTATGATGACAATGAGACCTAGGCTGAATATTTCATTCTCCAGCTCAACTTGTCCTGATTTATGATTTTTGACAAATACATAATTAACAGTTTAATATCTAAATAAACCCATGCCACTCTATTGTTGATGTTTGTATTATTTATCTTCTTGCATAAAAAAGACTTTTAATAAGGAGCCATATTACAAGTAATGGTACATACAGCCAAATGCCAAAGAACACTTTCATGCCTGAGAATTTATATAATTAAAGTTTCAATACTTGCACAGTTATTAATCTTTTCATTTTCGTTTAAATATGTATGGCCTTTTAAAAATGCCCATGTTAGACTTATTCTAGACCAGAGAGGGTAGAATAATGAGGAATAAAAGTAAACAAATGTGCTTAAACTATATAAAAATTTATATTTGATGGAAAAGCCTCATGGAAAAGTGATTTCACTGATGTGATTTTTTTTCCTTCAACTGAATTACTACTTGCTAGCATTACTCTATATTTATCTGTTTTATTTTTTTGTATTTAGCAGTTTTACAATCAAATACTCCTAATTGCAAGAATGAATATATGCTCACTTTAAGACAACATGAAAAGCAGAAATGTGGTTTAATAGCTAAAACATTATGCTTGGCTTTTGCCTTTATTTTTCTTTTTCACTATACCTCTTGCCCCTTTACAATTTTCAGCAGGACAACCCATTTTATAAACACACCTTACTAAATATTTGTAAACAAAATTTGTATCCTATAATTGTATCTAAAATCATATCAATTTACTGTCTATAGCAACAATCCCCTCTTTATAGCAAAAATCCCCAATTTCATATACTCTCGCATACTTACCTATAAAATATTGCCCTCCTTATTCCTTGTATAGAGTCTCTCCATTTTTAATTACGCTTAATCTAATTCAATCTCAGTGAAGAAGAAAAACCATGAGAAATGTTTTGGAAAAGGTGCTTGCTCCACACCATTTGAGACCTGCCTACCAGTGAATATCATTCTATACACTTTGCATATTAATGGCACAATATTTGCTCAAGAAGTATTTTTTATATCTTTCCTCCAAGAGAACTTTGTAGCTATTATTGTTATTCTTGATTGTCTGAGAAGAAAATAGGTATAATAAATACAGTCAATAAATCTAAATATATAATGAAAAAACTAAAGAGCTTCTGCACAGCAAAAGAAGCTATCAACAATGTAAACAAACAACCTACAGAAACAGAACGGGAGAAAACTTTGCAAAGTATGCATGTGACAAAGATCTAACGTACAATATCTATAAAAAACTTAACAAATTAGCAAGAAAAAAATAACCCCTTTAAAATGTGGGCAAAGGACATGAACAGACATTTCGCAAAAGAAGACATACATGTGGCCAACAAACATAAATAAAAAGCTCAACATCACTGATCATTAAAGAAATGCAAATCAAATCACAATGAGATACCATTTCATACCAGTTAGAATGGTTTTATTAAAAAGGCAAAAACAACAGATGCTGGAGAATGGTTTTATTAAGAAGGCAAAAAACAACAGATGTTGGCGAGGTTGTGGAGAAAAATTAATGTTTTTACACTGTTGGTGGGAGTGTAAATTAGTTCAACCATTGTGGAAGACAGTATGGCAATTCCTCAAAGACCTAGAGGCAGAAATATCATTCAACCCACAATCCCATTACTGGGTATATACCCAAAGGAATATAAATCTTTCTATTATAAAGACACAAGCATGTGTATTTTCATGGCATCACTACTCACAATAACAAACACATGGAATCAACCTAAATGACCATCAATGATAGACTATATAAAGAAAATGTGGCACATATACACCATGGAATACTATACAGCCATAAAAAGGAATGAGATCATTTTCTCTGCAGGGACATGTGTGCAACTGGAGGCCATTACCCTTAGCAGACGAATGCAGAAACAGAAAACCAAATACTGCATATTCTAACTTATAAGTGGGAACTAAATGATAATAACACATGGACACATGAGGGGAATAACACACACTTGGGCCTGTCAGAGGGTGGGGGTTGGGAGGATCAAGAGGATCAGGAAGAATAGCTAATGGATTCTGGGTGACGGGATGATCTGTGCAGCAAACCACCATGGCACATTTTTACATATGTAACATTTTTACCTATGTAACATCCTGCACATGTACCTCTGAATTTACAATAAAAGTTGAAAATAAAAAAAAACTAAAATAAAGTTTTATAGTTTCAAGTTTTGCATTTAGAGAAAAAGAAAAACCCAAACAACTTAAAGACATTTTTCAAATGGAGAAAAAAATCAGATGACTCAAATGTGAATAAAATTAAATAAGTTTGTCAATATTAATATAATGGTATTAAGGTATTAAGTGAATTAATAATGACAGTTTAAAAAGTGATAAAATTATATTCAAAATTATCTGTCAAAAAGGTTTCATTTGAAAGGAATAGCAGATTAATGTTTAGTGATGCAGTAAAATTGTTTTTAAAATATTTAAGTATAGGAGAAGATAAATTATCATAAACACATCCACTTGATAAAAATAAAAAGACATAAAAGAATGAGAAACATATTTAACCAGGATAATTAAATAGTAAGAGTTTGAATTTTGTATCTGTGAACATTGAGTTTTTAATAAAACATTTAGAAAAATTATCATTTATTTAACCATTGTGAAAATTCTTCCTCATTCTAAAATCAGTAAATTTAGCTGTAGAGATGTATAAATGCAGTCTCTATGCTTACAGATCACAATGTCAGATTACTGTAACATAAACTTTGAGATAAAAATTTAAATAGTAATCCCCTCTTTTATATTTTTAATCTCTTTACCAAATAACAATTGAGTGAAGGAGAAAATAAATAAAAACATAGTAACAATTCTATTAAAACAACCAACTAAGCAATTATACACACTCAGCAAAAACAATCATGGTGTTAAGTACTTTCATTATTAAAAATGTAAAAGCAAACAAAACATGTAACCTAATTTAACCAAAAATTACACAAAAATGAGTCAATGCTAAAGAAAATGTGTTTTTTTTAAAAAAGGAAAAACATAAATTGTTTAAATAAGTAAATAAATTTAGGTATGAATTCATGGAATTTCTGATAGTATGTGCAACAGCCTACTAAATGCACTCATTTGGGGACAGAAAATCTTAAACATTTAAGAGAGAGAAGATATAAACAAATTTTGATTTTATGAAAAAAATTACATAAATGTACAATGCAGTCCTGAATTATAGAAAAGAAAAATGTTAGCAGAGATGAGAATTGGGAAGCTGTCAAAAAATTACCCTACCGAAAACAAATATGGTGGATTCATTTATTGGAAAATTCATTTAAAATATAAACAAACTTTAATACCAGTGTTACACAAATTGCCAGAATATGTAATGAATAAATGAAGGCCTTTTTGAAGGTATTCCGTGAAATAAAAGCCAACTGATATCTAATGTAATAAAGCTTTAATAAGAATTAGGCCAGGCCAATCTCACTAATGAATATTAAATTAAAGTCTTAAGTACATTATTAGAGGTTGCAATTAAGCAGTAGGATTAAATTCATCCTATGAATTCAAGAATATTTCTATACAGGCAAAACTATTAGTTTAATACACCATATGAATAGCTTAATGAGAATAAAGTACTCCATTGAATGGGTTTTGATAAAAAGGACTATGCAGAAATTTATGTCTATGCCTAAAATATATTTATACATATGCATTATGTATAAAATGTACAGATAACTACTTTACAGTCTTATATACAATAATGGGACCTTTAATAAGCTTTAACATATTTAATATCGGTTTCGACTGCTGGATCAATAAAATAGTATGTGAGAACTGGATTTTTAAAAAATTAACAAAAGTCTATGAAACAAAGATGCACTATTTTTATATTGCAGGATTACAGGCCTGCAAAAGGCAGACAATTCAAAATCTACCTAACAAAAATGTTTAGTACATAAGGTAACTAGATATAAATAAAAATACAAAAATTTGTGCCTTTCCTTTATCATTATAAAACACAAATTTGTGCTTAACTAGTTATCACATACTAGTTAAGCAATGAGAAGATTCCTGATAAAATAATTATTAAGGGATTTGAATGAGTCCATAAAAACCTATAAGCTACTAAAGGAAGTATTATAAAAACATTTGAATAAATGCACAGAAATACTACATATGAGAAGGATAAAATGAAATATTATAAAGATGAATATTTCTGGCCAAGACTGGAAGGCAAAGCAATTAATAGTAATGATCCCATGGGCTGCAAATTTTTCTTTTCCATGTGCACTCTATAAACATAATAAAATTGTATTTCTATAAAGGTAATACAAATAAAACAATTATAAAACAGGAAAATATGTTTTTAAAAATTTTTAAATTATCAAATTATATTTGGATAAAGTGTAACAGTGAAGAAAAAGAACTTATACTGCTAGGAATTAAAATCTCCTAAAAGTAAAGTTAATTAAAGCAATATGAAATGGCATAAAAGAGCAAATATGGTTTAAACCAAACTAAAGAGAATGTTCATAAGTACACACACATACAAAAACTCACGTGATAAGCAACACGTTAACACAAGAAAGGAAAGAATTCATCAGTAGTGGCCTTGCTGCATTATCACCTTCTTGCTATGAAAGGTGACCATGTGTTCCAGTTTGTCCAGGACAGTCCCAGCTTATGCTTGTTTTCCAAGAGTATTGTTTATAGCATCTTACTCTCAAAGGTGTCTCATTTAGTGTGATAAAGTCTCCCAACCCATGAAGCATAAGTGATAAAATAAAATATGAGAAAAGTTTATTAAGATATAAATCTCACAAATAGAGTAAAATATTGACTACAAAGTTACCTAGATATAAAAATCAAAGCACAAATGAAATAGCTTTTCAGTCTTTCAGAGGTAATCTTGTACACGTTGTTGAGAATCTAAGCTCTGGAGGCTGATCGCCTTCTTGCTCTGCCGCTTGGACGAGTTACTTAACTGCTTTGTATCTCAGCTTCTTCTACTATAAAATGGGGTATGATAGCTATGTTTATCTTAAAGGATTTTTATAAGGATTAAATAAGCATTCAGAATAGTGTCCAGAATACAAAAGGATCAATAGATGTTAGTTATTGTTATCTCTGTAATGTTGTCGTTTTCCATTACAACATATTCCATTCTTAAAGAAGATCTTTAATCATTATCATCATTAACATCACCATTACATACAAAAACCGCTGTGTCAGAAAATGAAACATGCTGGATTCAGGAGCCCTCTATGCATCTTTAATTGATGGAATCTTCTTCCTTCCCCCAAAACACCAACTATTAACCTGCCTTTTTTGATGACGGTTCCCTTGCTGCTATTTATTATTTTACAATATTCCATTTTGTCTGCTTGCCTTTTAACTTTGTCTAACAGAAATCATACTGCATCTTCTTACAAATCTTGCTTTTTGCATTTAATATTATACCTCTGTGGTTCATCCATGTGGTTACCTGTAGGTATTAGCATTGCTGGATGGCATTCCATTGTATGAATGTAATCCGCTGCCATTCTACTATTAATGAAAATCTGGCTGTTTCCATTAGGGGTTATTACAAAATTTATTCTAGGAATTCTTGTCCATGTCTTCTGGAGTGTTAATATTAAGAATTTCTCTGGGAGAGGAAGTGATTAGTTACAGTGTAGGTACATGTGCAATGTGACTGGTGGTAATAACAAACTGTTTTCCAAAGTTGTTATACCAATGTACACTTCTACTAGAATCCCTCAAAAATATGTTTTTCCCGTCAAATAGGTATATGAAGATAATTTGTTTCAGTGTTAATCTGTACTCATTTCTATACTTTCCCATCTCTAATGACACCTTAACTAATTGAAATCTGCCATCTTACTACATAGTACAATTCAAATAGCTCTTATTTTTATCTCAATTGACTTCTTGCTAAATCCATGGGTATTTCTACTGGATTGCTGCGTTTGACATTGCTAATCACTCCTTCTTCTTAAAATACTCACTGCCTTTATCTTTCACAATGATGCTTTATATACAGTACTTAGCATGTTTCTGGGCAGATTATAGAATCTATACATACTGGTTAACTGGAACTTAATTACCTTTTTTGTGAATAAGTTCCAATAACTCAAGAGTAATACGTATTTTTAAAAGTTTTACTACAGCGTTAATTGCAAAAAAAATCTGATCTGCTTGTCTATAGAAAAATAGTTAGAAATAGTGTGTATTTTCATCCTTGGAATGCAACATAGTCATTTTAAGAAATGAGTTAGATCCCTGAAGCCATAAGTAAAAAGCTCCACATGTACACTGAGTAAAACATGTCTTTTTTTTAGACATAAAAAAAGAACTGAGGGTAAATATCCAACAAACTGTGGTTAAACCTTGGTGAGGAGGATTGAGGAATGGCAACAAAACTTTTGCTCTCCTATTTCACACAATTTAATATTGAATATTATAAAATTGCATTTGAGAATATTATAAAAGTAGTTGAATTTGTGGCTTTTTTGTTTTTCCTTTTTTTCTTTTTTTTTTTTTTTGGATTGTTCATTTTGTTGAATCTGCCTACCTTTCTTCAGGAAACCTTTTTTTTTATGCCCTACAAACATCACTGTTAAGGCTTCCATTCCACTTGAAGTTTTCTCCTACAATGTCAGAGACAGTTTATGCCAAACCACTGGTTTTATACTTCTGGCCCAGTTTACATTGAGCTTCAAATGTAATATACATATATACAAAGATACTAATGTCCAATTAGAACTTCACACTCAATATATTAAACCAGAGTCCTTCTTCCCCAAATTCTACATTTGAGTCAAAATATAAAATTTCATAAGAGTGAATATTTATTATACTCCATGTTTAAACACTTTATAGCCTATGCACCGCATATATCAATTCATTTAATCCTCATAATAGTCCAGTAAAGCAAGGATTGTTATTATCGCACCCATTTTACTGTGGATTATCTTTTTCAAATCTATCTAGTATTCTCTCTTTCAATTCTCGCTTCTTTAGATCATTGTCTCTGTTTCCTTTCCTTGGTCTAAAGATTTTCTCTAATTCATGTTCTTTTGAAATAGTGCTGCTCCTCTGTCATTATTTGGGCCTGTGAAGCTCATTTCCCCCCAAGCGTTGGCTAATTTTTCAGGCAATGAAAATGTAAAAGGGGCCATGGCTAGACTTCGTTAGACTTGCAGTCCTCCTACGGTGTTAGAGTGGAAATGGGATGAGCTTGAAGTGAGAGTCACAGGTGCCAGGAAGCCACAGTTAACCCCTCTCAACACTACCAAACCATTTCTTAGGTCCAGGCTTCATGTTCAATCTCCCAGGGGGAACATCCTGAGGAAGAAACACTCCTTTGGGTGCAGTCCATCACTTATCAGGATTTGGAGAAAGAAGGATGGGGAAATGGCTGCCTGCGCCCAATTAGCTCCCACCTGTGTCCCCTCTGCTCTCCATCCACGAATACTACTCAGATCTTCTAGTGCTCTTATCCTTATAGTCTGAGCCTCCCTAGTGTGAGTGATATAGCACACCAGGCCATAGAAGGAGAGAAGCAAGAGAAAATTCCATCAGCAGCCAGGCGCGGCGGCTCATGCCTGTAATCCCAGCACTTTGGGAGGCCGAGGTGGGTGGATCACCTGAGGTCTGGAGTTTGAGACCAGCCTGACCAATATGATGAAACCCCGTCTCTATAAAAAATACAAAAATTAGCCAGGTGTGGTGGCACACACCTGTAATCCCAGCTACTTGGGAGGCTGAGACAGGAGAATCGCTTGAACCCAGGAGGTGGAGGTTGCAGTGAGCCAAGATCGCACCACCGCACTCCAGCCTGGGCAACAGAGCAAAACTCTGTCAAAAAGAAAGAAAAGAAAAGAAAAAAGAGAAGAGAGTAGAAGAGAAGAGAGGGAGGGAGGAATGGAGGGAAGGAAGGAAGGAAAGAAGCAAAGAAAGAAAATTCCATCAACTCTTTCCCTAAGTTACAGGGATCCAGGCTTAAATCTACAACTTGGAGAACAACCCAGCTGCTTCTGCATTGCCACATGGTGAAAGTGAATCAGTCTTTGCTGGCTTAGAGCCAGAGCTCCAGAGCCCCATGAGCTGCCTCCTGCTCTAGGCTTCAAATCACACGTACTCCAAGTTCACAACAGTTCCTGTCTCCCACAGACGTATTTCACTGGAGTTTCTCAGAATGTTTTCCATGTCTTAATGCTTTCCCTCTGTAACTTTTCCAGGTTGATGTTGGGGAGTGTGGAGGAGGTTTAACATTTAGGTAGAAACTCCTCCAATTCATTCTCTCCCCTACAACTATTCAGATCTCCCTGAACAAGTAAGAAAAAACAAACGAAACAATCCTGTATAAATAATTTAAGAGAGTTCTAAAACCTCCACCTATCCTTAGTGACTGAAAGCTCAAGATTTCCCCTTCACTGGTTATCCAAATATTAGATTTGTTCTCACTTCCTAGCCCAAACGCCTAGTAAAAGAAATGATGGTCAAATTCTATCGGTTACACTACAGCAAGTTTTTACTGTAGCATTTGCCACAAGGTGGCACCAGTGACAGAAGTGGTAATCCTCCAAAAATCCCAATCCAACCTGATTTGTAAACGTTATTTGCAGAAATCCCAGCCTCCCAGGATTATACGACACACCCTCAAAAGCCCAAAGCAGGGAAGCCAGGAAAGCCTGATTCACTTTCACCATGTGACAATACAGACACACCATGACTGTTCTCTAGGTTTAGATTTAAGCCTGGGTCACCATCTGACTCCTTCCTGGTCTCCTAGTCATTTCCCCTTTGTGCTCTTGGTGTCCCTTCCTGCCATTGATCTCAATAAGGTCACTGCTCTTCTCAAACAAGTCCTGTTGGCTTTGAATTTGGAAGGACACGGTTTAGAGTCTTGGTCTCTACCCTCCCAGAACTTGAGTATTATGTTACGTTATCCCTTGTCGGGCAGGCTGATGAACTCACGCATGTGCGCTCGCGCACACACACACACACACACACACGCGCACACACACACATACACCTCTCTCTCTCTTTCTCTCAGATTACTTACCCTCATCCTGCAGGACCATGATGCATGTATGTCTCATATTTGCAAAGCTAAGAGGCTCTGGTGAAATCAAAGAATATTTACTGCGAGGCATCCTTGTTGTCCCTGCCTATACAGAGAATGAACTGGTAGCTTCTGAAGATGAAAATATATGACACATGCATAAAATGAGCAAGTTATTCGATCGCTTAATATTCTTTATTGGTTTCTCATTGCCTTTAAAGCATTCACTATTAAAGAAAAAAGTAAAATTTAAATTCACATTACAGCCAAATAAAGAATATAAAAAATATACATCAATCAAAGACATAAGCATTAAATAATAAGGAGGGGCAAGCTTACACATATTCAATCAGCAAATAGAAGCTTACCGAATGCAGGCAAGAGAGATTTGGGTTAAGAGTCATGAACATATTCATGTTCCTGGACCAAGTAATTTCACTCTTAGTATTCAATTCCAAAGAAGCAGTAGAAGATAAGTACTTCATCCATGTACAGATTGCAATGAAGCACCTAGCATAGGCTAGACAGAGAGCAGGTACTCAATGAATATGCATAGAAGGAAGAGGGAGAATGAAAAGAGTGAGGATGAGAAGGAAAAGGGAAAGATGATCAGAAAGCTTGTAAACATGCAGCCATGGAAAACCTTACTAAACATGGGTATGGTGACCAGCATGGTAACAGGTAACTTGAAGGTGACAATTATGGAGACCCATGTAGCCATGGGGAAATATGCCACAAGCGGTGTTAGTGGTAGCATTGGTGCTTGGGGAGCAGAATAAAAAGTCAGTCTGCTTCATAAGGACCACCTCTGGAAAATTCTGTGAGTGTGTAAAGGACCCCACCAGATAAATAGCATGATCTCTTGGCACAGTCGGTTTCACTCTACTGGTTATGGTAAAGTGAGGGTGAAATACCTATTTTGTATTCTACCATTGTGATAAATGTGTTCATAAATAAACGAAACCCAAAGTTTCAAGGACCTGGGAAGCCCCAGTGGAGGCCTGTGGCAGAAGAGTAGAGCAGGGATTCTCAACCAGGGCTACCCATGGAAATCACTTAGGCAGCTTTAAAAGACAAATGCCTTAGTCCCACTTACAGAGATCCAAATTTGTTTGCTCTGCATGTGTTCGGGCTATCTGAATGTTGAATCTGGCCAGTTCAACTCTGCAGCTAAAGTGGAAGAGCTCCGGTGTAAAGCCTTGCTAGATAAGGCCAGACGCACGTTCAGCGACACCCCTGGAACCCAGACCCTTGTTAGAAATGCAGAATTTCATCCCCACCCCAGACCTACTGAAACAGAATGGATTTTTAAAAGCTGCTCAGGTGAGTAGATAGCCAGTCTGTGAGGCACTGGCATGAAGGACTAACAGGTTTTCTGTGTGCCGTCTTTCCCCTGACAGTCACACCCTTCTTAATTTGGCATTTTATCTTTTGTGCTTCAACACATAGAACAGCTATGTTTTCTCAGGAAATACTTGCTGTTTCTGAAATGTCTCCACTTTTCTTTGATACAAATGTCATAAACGCATATACTGAAACAGATGAAATTGCGACGGATCACCCTGTTTCTTCACCTGAATTTAGAATTCGAGGAGACCTAGGAATTATGTTCAATCACGCCATTTCACAATGAAGAAATTAAGGTCCACTGGAGCTAAGATATTACCAAGGGTCACCCTGCTAGGAATCAGAAAAGCCGAGGTTTAGAACAGATTTCACTAATCAGAATCGTCCCTTTGAAAAGTCCATGTTCCATTGTAAAATTCACTTAGCGTTTTGGCGTTTTGTCATGTTTACACATTACAGCTTTCCTAGTTATAAAAAATATCAGTAATTTTTTTTTTTTTTTGAGATGGAGTCTCACTCTGTCGCCCAGGCTGGAGTGCGGTGGCACGATCTCAGCTCACTGCAAGCTCCGCCTCCCAGGTTCACGCCATTCTCCTGCCTCAGCCTCCCTGGTAGCTGGGACTACAGGCACCTGCCACCACGCCCGGTTAATTTTTTGTATTTTTAATAGAGACGGGGTTTTACCGTGTTAGCCAGGATGGTCTCCATCTCCTGACCTCGTGATCCGCCCGCCTCGGCCTCCCAAAGTGCTGGGATTACAGGCATGAGCCACCGCACCCAGCTAAAAATCAGTAATTTTTTAAAGCCTCGGGTGAGTTATCCTAGATGAACTTAAGTCCTGCAGAGGTGTGATGATTGGCAACCTCTAAGAAGTGCTTCTTCATCCATTTATCTGAATGCTGCAGAGAACATTTTTCCCCCAACTTAAAAGTTCTACTGTTTGGGAAAAATATCAGTTGTCCAGGCTAAACCTGTGAATAGCAAATGTGATCTATAAAATCCCCCTGTTATAATAGAAACCTGTGGAAACAGTTGGCTTTTAAAACCATCGTGGATGAGATGGGCATGGGATGAAGTTGTGTCGCAGGTGCCCAGAGATTCTTATTTGGTAGGTATGTGAACTAGCAGGGTAACTCATACAGATAAACAGACGTTTCCATAAGCTTCACAAACATGTTTACAAGGGTATGCAGGAAAGCTTGCTCTGGCATAATTGCTGGGCTGCACAGAGTTGGAGGGTGTGTGGTAGTGGCAGAATTACTAAAGGACCTCTAGGGTGGGAATAAGGGTCCTATTGTGAGCTGAGCAGCAAGGCTTAGTTCCTCACTGCTTCAAGTGCGGCTGTGGACCCACAGCACAGTCATCACTTGCGACCTTGTTGGAAACATAGAACCCCAGGCCCCACCCCAGACCTACCACTGTACCGTAATCTGCAGTTGATCCCCACAGGATTCATACACTCACTAGAGTTTGAGAAACACTAGTCTTATTCACTGTTTCCCAAATTGGTCTCAACAATGAATGCGTGATTATTGGGTCCCAGCTGATACCTAAATTAGAATCTTCAGAGGAAGATCTTGAGAATCTATATTTATAACCATGGCCTTTGGTGATTCTTATAATAAAGCAAATTTGACAAGATTGGAGGATCGAGAGCTTTAGAGTCAGGCAGAACTGAGACTGGCGATCAGACCTCCTACCTACTGGTGGGCGTCTTTGAGGAAGCGACCTTCCCTCTGGGAGTCTCCTTCTTGTCATGTATCAAATGTGGATACAACGTTTCTTTGCATATTTAACATGAACACAAGGTAGGCAATTATGAAGCAGTGTAGAAAGGGTGTAAGCTTTTGCCTTGGGCTTAGTAGGTTTGAAATAGAAGATTGATATTAACATTTCTGTCTCATTTTTAACACCTCAAATTTGTCGTCTAAAAAATGAGAGTGGTAGGTATTTAGCGTATTTTTCATTGATCCAGTTTATCTTTCCTGAGTAGGTGGTAGGTTCCGGAAGCACAGATGAACTCAAAGCCTAGTGGGAGATTCAGGTAGATGAACAAAAACATTATAATAGATACAGAGGTTTTGCTCACAAAGGAATCATTTCATACATCCAGATAATGTTTTGGTTAGCTTGTAGGGGGAAGAGATCAAAGCTACTATTTAATATCATTAAAATAATCACTATTTCTTTCACATATGCTAACCCAGGCAGAAAGGAAAGAGCTTTCTAGTGCACTGAAAATAAAACCTTGTCAAAGAAAATAAGGCTTCCATGTGATTTTGATTGTGACTATAAATTAGCACAGGAGAACACCCCAAACTGTGGCAAAATTATGACCTTATTTAAAGTAGATACTTTATCAGCTCATCTTTTCTGCCAATGCTTTCCAACCTCATGTTTTTCACTCTCCCTTGTCCTATTATTAGCCTCTATTTCATAACTGCTGCAGAATGTTTTTCCTCCAGCAGTGGAGCTACCCACTGATACACTAGCCTGAGCCTCAAAGCTGAAAGTTGAGAGTTCCTAATTGAATTTCTGCCCTTCAGGAGCACAGGGTCATTGGGATCCACCTGCTGTCAGAGGACTCCAGGGAGGCCAGGCTCTAAGCACACTGGCCTCTTGGCATTGCCTTTGTCTCTCCACATCCACATCTCCAAGCATCCCATCTGCCCCTAAGCCTGGGGTCTGTTTGTTTAATGGTCTACAGCTGAATTAATAACTCCTTTCTCTGACGTTAGCTATAACTGTATTTTGGATTTGTTTAAATCAGAAAGCAGTATTTGAGAAACTAGAAAGCTATCCTGTTTTAGGAATTCTTACAAACTTTCTTTCTCTGATCTCTGCTGTATGCATGTGTTGCTATATGTGCCAATATGGTAACCTGCTGCCTGACCCATAACAAGGTACATCCTTTACAGTTACCTTACTTTCACCCTATGCGAGCCTCGCAGCAGCTCAGTTAGAGAAAAGAAATACTACCTAGGGAATTGTAGAACATTTTCACTTGAATGTGCCAGTAAGTATCCCTAAAGTTTCATTATTCAACAATGATCAGTGGTCAACGCATCCTTAAGTGGATATGTTTAATTCTTTAGGAAAATTTTAGAACTGAAAAATCATTTCCTACATCTAAAATGCTAATACAGGCCAGGTGTGGTGGCGCATGCCCGTAATCCCAGCACTTAGGGAGGCCAAGGTGAGTGGATCCCTTGAGGCCTGGAGTTTGAGACCAGCCTGGCCAACATGGCGAAACCCTGTCTTTACTAAAAATACTACAATTAGCTGAGCATGGTGGTGCATGCCTGTAATCTCAGCTAGGTGGGAGGCTGAGGCAGGAGAATTGCTTGACCCAGGGAGGTGGAGGTTGCAGTGAGCCAAAATTGCCCCACTGTACTCTGGCCTGGGCAACACAGCAAGACTCTCAGGATAAATAAATACATGAATAATAAAATGTTAATACAATTAATTTTTGATTGGAACAATAAAATTGTCTTTGTGAATATCTCAAATATGTAGATAAAAGTTATACATTAATTTTGAATTTAAAAAATCTTAATTTCATAATTTAATCAGTGTGATATACTTGTTAGGCTTGAAGAATCGCACTCTTCTCTATACTTTCCATTCAGATAAATTCAGAGCTTGAGTGAAAGAAATTAAAAATGTCATCATCTTCTGATATGTTTGTGAGAACCATCTGGACATGAGAGAAAAAATAATCCAGAAAGGAAGGGACCAATTGCATCAAAAATTTATGACATGAAGCTGATTACTTCTAATTGCATCTAAAGTAATTTTGAAATTTCCCTCCCTCTTGGATTTAAAGAGAAACTTCTCCAATAGCAGCTCAACTCTCCAAGCCTTTGTTGGCCAGCAAGAGTAGGCTTCCAAATGAGAAATAAAAAGGCTCTTATCTTTCCAAATGCAAATTAATGTGTTATCTCCTCTCTGAAGCCCGTCCTGGCTTCATGAGCACTGATTTTTGGAATCTTCTATGTACATATGAGTGCTATGATTTGGATATGGTTTGTTTGTCCCCACATACTCTCATGTTGAAATTAGACCCCCATTGTGGGGGTGTTGGGAGGAGGGGCCTATTGGGAGGTATTTGAGTCATGAGAGCAGATGTCTCATTAACAGATTGATGCCTTCCCTCAGAGGAGAGTGCGCTCTCATTCTTTAGTTCCCAAGAGAACTGTGTGTTGAAAAAAGCCTGGCACCTCACCACTGGTTCCCTCTTTCCTTGTGTGATCTCTGCACATAATGCTCCCCTTCACCTTCCTCCAGGAGTGGAAGCACCCTGAGACCTTCACCAAATGCAGATGCCCAATCATGAACCTCCCAACTATCAGAATCATGAGCCAAAGAAACCTTTTTTTTCTTTATAAATTACCCAGCCTCAGGTATTCCTTTACAGCAACACAAAACAGATATGAGCATAGCTCATATCTATCACAGAACTTGTCATATTGAATTGAAGTAGAAAATATCCAACTCAACCCCTCTCTTATGAGTTTTTCTGAGAACATTCATCACTATATTCTTACCACTTTACAGTGGACTCGGAACATTGAAAATGCTTAATAAACATTGGCAGAATGATAAAAGAATGTATTAAATTGTCATTTACTTCTGAGTGTACATAAAATAGAACAAAAAGTGCCATTCTATAGCCTCACATATGGCATGTATATTTCTAAAAACATATTCCCCAAACCAGGTGTAATGCTCTCATCTTTTTTATTCCTTTCACTTTATCCTTAATTTCTCATTTGATAAAACTTGCATGAGGGATTTTATATAGTTGAGGAAGATATTTTCCCTCAGTTTACCAGCCTAGAATGCGTTTCCCTATAATCCCAAATATGAGCTTCACTGCCCAGTATGGTCAGAATCTGCCCATTGTGTTCCCTTCCACACTAGATTCTGTTGGCTTCCCAGTGCTCTTATAGCAAGTTATTGACAAGAAGGAACTTTTGGTCTCATTTGCCACTGAACCTCAGTGTCTTGCATGATGCCAGATACCTAGTAAACAGACTGTGTGTATATGCATGTGTGTGAATGTGTGTGTGTGTGTGTGTGTGTGTGTTTGTAAGGTGGATTTTAAGCTGCCTTTAGTAGAAATATTTTCCTGATATTCATAAAGCCACCAGAATCGCTGTGAGCATTAAAAAAATAAACATATTTTTAGAGATTTACTCTGAGATAAACTCTGGAAACACTGTCTTTGGCTTTTTTCTATAAAACAAGGAATGCTTGGCCCTTCTGTCAATTTTTTAGTTTTCTCAAGTAATACGTAGGTACATAGGTAACGAAATAAAAGAGTAGTTGGATGTTAACGTGCACTGACACAGAGTTGGGATACAGTGAAAAGAATGGGTTTTAGGGCGCTCTCTTCTACCTTATTGATACGGACAGGAAATGGGAAAATACTGGGTTGAAGAGGGTGGTTCCCTGGCAAAGGCCCCACCTTTAAGCCTAGATGCCCGCATCCCTGAATAAGAATAGGCATTTCTGTTTTCATGCCCAAAAAGTTGCCTTTTGGCTTTCCATTCCCCTATCCTGCCCCCATATAAACCCTGAACCACAAGCTCCAGGGCAGACCAGCAGATCAGCAATGGCAGAACGACGCGGCAGAGAAAGAGAAGAGGAGGGATGTCTGGATGCTGAGGGGAGTTCAGCAGGGGGTGACTGGAGGAGGCTGGCCACTGGGCAGCCCCACTCCAGGGGAATATCACCTTCCCACTCCATCCCCACTTTCAGCTCCTCATCATCTCGCTGAGAGCCACCTCCACCACTCAACAAAACCTTGCACTCATCCTTCCAGCCTGCATGTGATCCAATTCTTCTGAGCCACTGGGCAAGAGCTTGGGATACAGAAGGCTGTCACACTGGCCCCCTGCCCTTGCGATAAAGCAGAGGGTCCACTGAGCTGATTAACACTCAAGCCATCTGCAGATGGCAAAACTGAAAGAGCTTTGTAACGTGGAGGGTTGCAGGTATCCACCTCCAGACACCACTGTGGAGCCAAAGCACCTGCCCCCGCCTCTGCACTGCCCTTCTGCATGCTTCCCCTCCTTCAGGGGTTTCAGCTGGGGGACGACCAAAAACAGGTGAGCCACACCCCTGTCATATGTCAGGGAACTCTCTCGTTTCATTATCATCCAAAGCCTGCTAGCACTGAGTGACTCAGGAAACTCACAGCTGATTTCTGCAAAGTGGGGATAACAATACAGAGGTTGTACATTCTGGTGAAAGTTACATTAAGAAAAATCCACATAGTATATGATAGTCTTGCTTTTCTATGAATTTGAGTGTAATCAAATTATAATTAGGTCAAGTATATGTCATACTCATCATGGAACATCCTTGGATTATGCTTATTTTACAGAGAAAGTTATTAAAATTTCCCATTATGCCTGAAAAGTTTTGGGAGCTAAGCCAGGCACCGTGGTTTACACCTATAATCCCAGCACTTTGGGAAGCCAAGGAAGGAGGATCACTTGTGGCCAGGAGTTTGTGACCAGCCTGGGCCACATACTGAGACCCCACCAGTACAAAAACTTTAAAAAATTAGCCAGGCATGATGGTGTGCACTTGTAGTCCCAGTGACTTGGGAGGCTGAGGAAGGAGGATCACTTGAGCCCAGGAGGTCAAGGCTGCAGTGAGCCATGACTGTACCAGTGCACTGCAACCTAAGCAATAGAGCAAGAACCTATCTCTAAAAATAAGTAGAGTACATAAAGCCAGAGTTTAAATGTCTTATTTTGAAGCAGTTTGAATTCCTGAACCACTGGGACAATAAAGGAGAGAGTTTAGTGGGGAGGCGAAGCATGTAGAACCTGGTGTCAGCCTCCCTAGTCTGGTACACAAACACTGACATTTTGGTTTACGCATAAAAATTGTGATTTGGCCCTTAAGCCATCTTTTATGTTTGTAAATGATGATCAGACAAAAGTGATTTGGAAAGAAATAGCATGCTCAGGAACCCAGAAGTGCTGCCTGATGCTGTGAAACTTAGGTTGGAGGAAGAATCCTTTCAGTAGCCCCAGAGATGGGCAGACCACAGAAGGACACGGCAAATTCCCTCATTGCCTCGGCAGAGTCCACAGAACAGCTGAGCCATCTTTATCCTGTTTTGAGAAGGTTTTATTGAAATATTTACCCAAGAAGCTTGCACGGCGGGGCCTGTGGTACCAAGGTTACTGTTCACATTTGTACTGATAGATCATCTCTGGCTAAAATAATATTTATGGATATGTTCTTAATTTTTAAAATAAATTTGGTGAAATAATCCATAATCCACTTAAACTATATAATTTTATCTGGGATACAAAATATTGCATAATTCTCTCTCTGCTCTGTCTGCATGGGAGAAGCTTCCAGACTGTCCCATCCCTCACAAGATAGTGAAACTCTCAGGCAGGAAGCAGGTGCCTGGTGAGGCAGTTCGGGGACACATCTGAAGGGTCAACAGCAGGAATGGCCTAAACTGTAGGTGGTAAGGAGTGTTTTTCCCATGTTTTTTCTTCAGGAACTGTCAAAAGGGAGCATTCCCCTAACAAAAGGTGGCCTCCTATTTCTGCCTGTCTTTTAAGTTTACTACTTGAATAATTACAATGATCCTTGATTCTAAAATGTGTTCTTGTGCACGATCTGGTATTATTGTGTTTTTAAATAATGTATCTGTGCCTGTTCTCTTTTATTCCCATTAGTGGATCTAAATTGAACTCTCTGCACAAGACTCACTGTGCTGGGAGACTCTGAGTACCTATCAAGAAGTTCTGACACAAGTACACTGACCTGTCAACAAAGCTGTGCAGATAAAGTAACAATACCTGTAACTTACTATATTATACTGGACTTACCCCAAATTCCCTGTGTTTACTCAATACCAGGCATCTCAACTTTACCTATATCAAGCCTCAAATAATCCTGGGAAGTAGTAATATTGTTTTTCCCACTTCACAGATAAGAAAACTGAATCACAGAGAATATGTTTTATTTATTTATTTATTTACTTATTTATTTATTTAGAGATGGAGTCTCACTCTGTCACCTAGGCTGGAGTGCAGTGGTATGATCTCGGCTTATTGCATCCTTGAAAGTTCCACCTTCTAGGTTCAAGTGACTCTTGTGCCTCAGCTTCCCAAGTAGCTGAGATTACAGGCATGCATCACCACACCTGGCTAATATTTTGTATTTTTAGTGGAGACTGGGTTTTGCCACGTTGGCCAGGCTGGTCTTGAACTCCCAAGGTCATGTGATCTGCCCACCTCAGCCTCCTAAGTTCTGGGATTACAAGCGTGAGCCACCACGTTCGGTCAAGAATATGTATAATTTGTCTGCTAGTAGCAGTGGAGCATTGAATCCAACCAGCCAGACCAAATAAGAATTATTAGGAAAAACAGAAGACAAAAAGACAACACTTTTTAAAGAGTCTGCAAGGAAATAAAAATATTCTTATTTATCTTTAAAAAATATTTATCTTTTAAAAAGATTTTTATCTTTTTAAAATTAAATATTTTAAAGACATCATTATATAGTGAGATCTTCTTTAAATAATCAGACTAGTACAAAG
This sequence comes from Homo sapiens, assembly GCF_000001405.40. NCBI lineage: Eukaryota > Metazoa > Chordata > Mammalia > Primates > Hominidae > Homo > Homo sapiens. The sequence continues at coordinate 82,367,457 of NC_000010.11, read as the reverse complement.
AAAGTTTGATAAAGTTCTAAGTGCTATATAAATTCTGGAGTCTATTGGCTATAAAAACACTCCAGTAATTTTCAAGGTGTTTTAGTTGCTAGCACTCTCATTATAAGGGTTAAGGGACAGACCAAAATCAATTAGGTAATTTTAGGTTTTGCATAGCTACAATATCTTGCATTTATATGGCATTTTACAACTTCCAATTGACATTCACATATATTATGGTCCAATGACTGCCAGGAAGGACAGTTATCATCATCCCCATTTTACAGCTGGTAAATAAATCATCATGGGAGCAAACAAAAAGAGTGTGTGCACGTCTCCGTGTGTGTATGACATTGAATAGTTATACATAAACAAGCCTGGTCTTAAAACTTACAAAGGAGAGCAGCTAAAAGCTACATATCCAAAGCAATGTACTAACTGCCAGAGATCTGACACTGTCTAGGTAGAGTCGAACACGCCTTGCTTATCTTGGGTTCCATATTCGCTGCTAACATATCCTGCGTTTAAAAAATGTTCCTTTTAAATTATTTTCTGTAGGCTTTCGTAAAGCAGATTATTTTTATTTTATGCCATTAAGAATTTTAGTGCCTACATATTTTAAACACTGAAGTATACAGATAGCTAAACTTTCAGAAAACTATTTTGGGAAAGAATTAAGAAAAAAGTAAATCACTTCATTTTTCTTGAATCATATATTTTCCACAAGTAAAATCTATAATTTTCAGTGTGTACATTTTCACATGAAAGTGTATTTTTCTTTTCTGCAAAAAAAATAAAAAAATAAAAAAGTCAACAGCCTATTGTATTGTGTCACAAAATTGCAAAATCGACAACAATTTCATGTTATTGACACAATTATGGCCCGTTACGCTGATTAAGTAGGAAAGGAAAAATAATATTTCCTTTAAACCCATGAAGAGTCGTTAAGAAAAGCAATGAGGGAAAAATCAAGAAATGCTTGCAGAATGTAACAAATAATAGAAAATTGCTAATTTGTCAAAGTATTAAAATTAGCGATAGGAATTCTGAGTCCTGAGAATATACAGTAGACAGGAATTCTCTGGCATGCCCCTCCCCACTTTTAAACCGAAGTCTCCTGTTAATTAAATAAGGCAGATGATACTGGTACAATTTCTCTCACGGGATTCTTGAAATATGCTTTTCCTTGGCTTCAATATGAGCATAAAGGAGAGAGGAAAGAGCTATCATATATATACATAGTATCTATTTCACAGTCATAGTTTTCTATATGTTGCTTTCAATTCTTTCATTGGCCTTTTGGGGCAACTATTAGACTATCTTAAAAAAATTAAATATTGAAGGTTCTGATTAAATGACTTGCAAAAAATCAGAGTTAGTAGAAAGCTGAGTAGGACTTTGAACTCAGGTCTCTCAGCTTTGAACACTCACATTTGCCTCTTGTATGTCTTACCCCAACTCACACAGGGAAGGTATTTTAAATAAACAAATTTGTGTCAATTCTTGGATACAAAAGCAAACCCAAGTCATAATGACCTCCTTAAAAAACACCATTTCCTGCTTCAGATAGAGCCACTAATCACAGAAGAAAACATTAAAATAAGGTAATCTTTGGCTAATAACTAAATTCCAATCACAGAAGAAAACATTAAAATAAAGTAATCTTTGGCTAATAACTAAATTCCAATCACAGAAGAAAACATTAAAATAAAGTAATCTTTGGCTAATAACTAAATGATGTGTTGGTTGAATGTGCTTTTTTGTTTTTTTGCATGATACTTAAATATCCATATCCAAAGCAATGTACTAACTGCCAACTAATTTTAATACAAAGAGGTCGAATTAGAAGAGGTAAACCACTGCTTAAGTGTCATGGAATTACAAAATAACATTCATTGTGTTGTTGGTTTGCTTGCTTTCCGAGTTTCTAAGACTATCATGACAAGCTATGTCCACAGAGAGGAAGAATAATTATAACTTTCTTCATTTCCTCTTGTCAAAAGCAATCGGTAGACCACCTGTTATCAATATGGCTATTGCAAATTACTTAAATTATGTCTGGGCTATGGCAATCATTCCCATGAACACTTCTTTGATGAACTTGCAAATTCTTCTAAGGTTCTTCACCTTGTTATTAACACCACTCTGCAGGGAATCTGCAGTGACTCTGCAGCCTGGCCTGGATTTATAGATATTTTAGCCTTCATTCCCTCCTGTCGATGGAATTCAGGGATGTGTGCCAAAACTCCATTTTCATTCTGACTTGCTTCAACCACAGGGAATCATTAGCTGCTGCTCTCAGAGCACTTACTGGAGAACCATTTGATATAGAGGACCCTCACTGAATGGAAGAGCTAATGGACCTCCAAAGTGACAGGGCAAAGCACTAACTGGGATGGTCCTGTTATATCGTAGAATTGTCGTTACGCAATGACCAATCAATTCTCTTAAAAATGGAAGCTTTTATTTCAAAACCTACTCAGAGACAGCCAGTCATAATAGGGAGAAAAAACTACTCTTAGGGTTCCCTTTGCCCTTCCCAATGGCTGCCCCCACTCCCCAACTCCTATCAGCATGTCAGATTGTTATACAAGCCATCAGTCCTGTTACCAAAGTATCACCCTGGGCAATGGTAGCTATTGGGCTGTCTTATTCTTTTTCCAGCAATTCCATATTTCAAGTGCTTCAAGTATCTTCAAGCGAATTGCTTGGCTGATTTCCAAAATGGTCAATACAGGTCAAATTCAGCTTAAATGCTATCCTTTCCAAAGTTTTGAAAATCCATTTTTGCAGGAAGGCCGGTGAAACATTTAATGAGCTTCAGTTCAGAAGAGACACATCCTTTTTACTTGAATTTGGTCTTAAAACACATTTGGTCCATTCAAATGTGTAGCAATCTTTTCAATTACAGTGGCTACCTCTTTTCAATCTAGTGCAGTATATTATACATAGCACCATTGCCAACATTTTTAAAATTTCTAGAAATGGCATAAAAATGAAAAGATCATAGAATATTCTGATTTTATTCAGAATATTTTGATTCAAAGTGTTTCTGCTGACTTATTTTCCTTCTTCATCCAGCTTCATTTCTATGGGGTGTATCTACCTTTTATTAAATCCAATGTTTTTAATGTTTTCAAAACATGATTTCAACATGAAAAAGAATTATTATAAAAAGTATCAATGAATTATTAATAAAAGAAGGAGCAGACACATTCAAATAGACTTAGTAGTGCTTAATCTGGAAGCACTTAATTGAAAGTTCTCTTATCAGCTCAATAATAGTGAATTATAATGACCTTGATTTTAAAGAGACAAGGACACTATCTATATTTCTTAATGGAAAGACTAGAGGCAGGAGTCAACTCTCTTAACCGGGTGTTACATAAATGAAATATATGTGTAATATAGAGATGTTAGAAAATTTGCCAAGTTGAAAGAAGGAAATAGTTGTAAACTATCAACCTTTTTAGTTTTTTTTTCAGAATTAGGATTCTACTATATGTTCAAGTTTGCAATTTCATATTACATTTTTATACCTAACATGACATAGTGACCATTGGATATCCTCAAAACACTGTGAAAATTCATTCAATGTACAAATATATTCTAATTTATATAGACATTTAAATTCATAATTCATACTTGTTAAAAATTTTTGCTATTACAGATAAAAATGTGGTGAGCATCCCTACAAATAAATATTCACAAGCATGTCTATGGGCCAGGTGTGGTGGCTCACGCCTGTAATCCCAGCACTTTGGGAGGCTGAGGTGGGTGGATCACGAGGTCAGGAGATTGAGACCATCCTGGCTAACACAGTGAAACCCCGTCTCTACTAAAAAACTACAAAAAATCAGCCAGGTGTGGTGGCAGGTGCCTGTAGTCCCAGCTACCAGGGAGGCTGAGGCAGGAGAATGGCGTGAACCTGGGAAGCGGAGTTTGCAGTGAGCCTAGATCACGCCACCGCACTCCAGCCTGGGTGACAGAGCGAGACTCCGTCTCAAAAAACAAACAAACAAACAAACAAACAAAAAACAGTATAAGGCTTTTAAAACATACTAAAATATTACCTACAAAAAATATTTAACAAAGTGCACTCCCTCAAGTAGTATTTGTGGACACGTGTTTTCACAGCCCCCTTACCAAACTGGGTATAGTAGTCACTTTTAAAAATCTTTAAATAAAGGATAGGAAAAAAACACCTAATTTGCATTTCTCTGTGAGGCTGAGTATATTTGTTTGCTGGTTATCTGTATTTCTTTTTAGATAGATTATGTTCCTCCCCTTTGTCAATTTCCCTATTGAGCTTTTATTTTAATGTTACCCTTTGATCTACATGACTTCTTCAGGGTTTTAATTCTTTGCCATATTTGTTATTCGGTTTCCTCACAGTTTGTCTTTTAATTTTGTTTCTGATTTATGATATTCAGATAAAAAAATGCTGTGTCAAAGTTGTTAATTTTTGCCTTCCATTGCTTTTATTTGCTCACAAGGTCCTTACAATTGCTGAACATAAATAAACATGTAATTTTACTTATTATTTTCCTTAGGCTTTATTTGTTTATTACATTAACTTTTGAAATCATTAGTATACTTTTGGTATAGAAAGAGGGGTCAACATACACTTCTGATTCTATTTACCTGATAGTCAATCATTTATTGAACAATCAGTCTCTCATTTTCCTCTGGTTTATGAATCAAGCCTTGTTCTATACTAAGTCCCACAATATACCACAATCTGTTTTCACTAATTAGCCTGTGGATAATCTGTGGCTTTATATTTTCAGGCTGGGCATAGTAACTCACACCTGTAATCCCAACATTTTAGGAAGCTGAGGCAGGAGGATCACTTAAGTCCAGGAGTTGGAGACCAGCCTGGGCAACCTAGTGAGGCCCCATTTCTACGAAAAAAAAAAAAAAAAAAAAACCCAGAAATTATCTGGGCATGGTGGTGAGCACCTGTAGTCCCAGCTACTCAGAAGGCTGTGTAGGGAGAATGGCCTGAGCTCAGGAGATTGAGGCTGCAGTGAGCCAAGATCATACCACTGTGCTCCAACCTGAGTGACAGAGCAAGGGTCCCTCTCAGAAAAATAAAATACACACACACACACACACACACACACACACACACACACACACACATATATATATACACATTATATTTTGAATTTAGGAAAATCTATTTTCTCTATTTCTTGTTCTTTAAAAATCCTTCTGTCAAGTTTTTTTTTTTTAATTAAATTGCTTTATAATTTCTAAGTACTGGTACCACAAGTGTTTCTTGAAGAACTGGAATAAGAAAATTATGAAGAAACAAACATGTCCCCCACTTTCAACTCCTCCCTTTTCTGGGATTATTATTGTCCTTTTTTTTTTTTTTTTTTTTTTTTTTTTTTGCATGTACTTTCAGGATTTCTATCACGAATAGTTTGGTAATTGTGTTCTTATCGTTCCTTGAGAAGAAAACAGAAATGTGTCAGAGCATGGTCTATTTTCACAACACAGAAAAATATTTGATGCAGTTTATTATAGGATTACAATTTTTTTTAATCTAGGAAATATAATTTTAATTTCTTTCAGATTTAGATGTCTAATCTTTTGAGACACAAAAAAATAAACTATTGAATAAGCCAGGGTCATGCATAAGCCTTTATATTGCTGCTCAGATCTATTAAATGGCATCTTATTTAACTTGAAACAAAATCCAGTAACTACTATGTCATAAACATACTCCTGGTAGCATGTCAGTCACTGAAGTATTTTGCTTTTTAAAATTTCCTAACGATGAAGTATTTTTCTTACTCCAAACACATTACAAAGCACTGTGACATTTAATTTTTAAATTCATTTCTGTATGTATTTATTCAATAGTATCTTAGTGATAGGAGGTGCTCAGTAAACATTTGTTGAATAGGAGTATGACTGAAACATACTACTTAAATAGAGTGCTGTACAAAATGGCACTTTATTAATAACTACATTGGAATTTTTAGAAGTGGCTGATGCAGGAACAAATGTAAGCCTTTTATTCACAGCAAAGCTTGAGAGATGAATAGCAGGCACATGTGATGTGTGATTTATTCATACACACCAGTAGGAGATTTATAGGCATCTATTAACCTACTCGAGTTCCAATTTTGTCTTAGGCTAGTCTTTTGTCATGATTAGCTATGTTGTGAGTCTATGTTAAATAACAGGCTGTCTGTACTGAAATATGCAAGAAATATGAAGACAGAAGGCCAAAATTATTAAATATGTACATCATTTCACTTAAACTATAGGTATATATCTGCTTATGTGTGTTACAAAAATTAGAGATGTACATGCATCTCACAAAAGCAAAGGATTTTTCTTTTATGGACATGAGACTCATTGTTATGGACTGAATTTATCTACAAAAATATAAAATCCCTACATGAAGTAAACTCCAGTTCCTCAGAATGTGATCATATTTGGAGAAAGGTCTTCACAGAAGTAATGAAGTTAAAATAAGGTAATGAGGATGTGATCTAATCTAATATGGCTGATGTCCTTAGAGGAAATTTGGAACACACACACCTACAGAGGAAACATGATGAGAAGATACATCTCCTTGACCATCTATAAGTCAAGGAGGGAGGCCTCAAAAGGAATCAACTCTGAACACAAACACCTACAGAGGAAACATAATAAGGTACATCTCCTTGACCATCTATAAGTCAAGGAGGGAGGCCTCAAAAGGAATCAACTCTGCTGACACCTTGATCTTGGAATTCTGACCTCCGGGACTGTGAGAAAGTAAATTTCCATAGTGAAGCCACCCAGTCTGTAGCACTTTGTAACAGCAGTCCTAGCAAATTCATACACTCATGAAGTAATGAAGAATACAGCATAGCCATATGCAGAAAAAGAAGAATTACTTTGTTCTCCTGATAGTCTCAGTTTTTGGAAAAGATGAATCATCTCAGCCTGCATACTGTGGTGGGACCTGATCTGATTCCTCCTCTTGGTAAAACACCATCAAAGAAAGCCACTACTTTAGCTAATGCTTCTGATTCATCCCTTCTTCAATTGATTACGAATTCAAACATAATTGATTGCATTGGCCACTTCCAAATGATTATCCCATTAGATTGGCCACTGTAACATGGTTGAGGATCTAAAAGAGCTTGCATGCACATCACGCTTTGAAGGAGTAGCTCATTCCTGGATTTTCCCTTAAGGTCTTAATGTCACTTGTGTGCTTTGTATCCATACATGCACAGTCACAATAAATATGAGAGAGGAGGAGTGTGGAGAGAAACAATCCCCACTCCCCTTCTTCCCCAACCCAGGTTTGCAGAGCATAGGAATAGGGTGCAAATTTTGTAACTAGGGTGAATGCAGCGGCACTGCCAAAGTCATATATGAACACCACATGTCAGGGGTGAGGAAAGGTCACAGTTCTATTTGTCCTGACACAGGACATATGGTAACTTTTACAGAGCCCTCCTACTATATCACGTATCTGTTCTTCCAAACCTGTGCCATTGCTCAGTGTGGCAATACATCTTCCCTGTGGACTAAACCTGGCTCTTGGATCCAGGCAGCTTCTGCTGGCATGGCATGTTCTAAGTTCATAACTATACAATGCATTTCTCTACACCATCTTAGTGAAACAACATGGGAATAGAGTTTTATAATAGTAATAGAAAAAAGTCATAATTTTCCATGCCTCACTATTCAGAATAATTAATTTAATAACTGTGTCATACGAGAAGAGTAAATAAAGAGAAGAAAAGGGGTGTGGATATATATGATCACTGATGCATACACAATTGCAAAGAAAAACAAATTACCAGGGTAATACTGGAAATGAAAGCTTGGTAAGAAATATTTTTCAGATGTTAATTTGATTCTTCTATTGAGTCTTAAAGCCACAGTGTCTATAAGTGCACTCTTTATCCCCCCTTGTTTTTATTTTTAGCAGTTACATAACCTTATGTCTCTAAAAACCAATTAAACACCTTCCTGATCTCTACTGGGAGTTTTCCCCAAGTAGTTCTCTACCTAGACTATAACAGGACTACTATTTCATTTACAACTTCTTGCTGGAGAGTGTTTCATCAGAGGTGTTAAGAAAAAGTACTGAAATTAATAAAGGAAGGCAGAAACAAAATAAAATGCAGTTCTCTCTGGACACAGTTCAAGTCTCTGGGGTTGGTTCACAATAAACACTGAGATTCTAGATCTTAGATGAGCAGTTTGCTTCTCCTGCCACAGTCTGTAGGTTCTCAAGAACAGATTATTTCTGAGTACTAGGATATATGCCTAAGCTCCACATCATAAACAGACGCTTCTAAAGTGTGTAAATAATTATTTCCATTAACTTTGCAGATCTAAAAGTAAATCTTTGTTTGCTTGGTCAGGTAAAACTTAAACCGTAACTACTTTGTTTCCATTTTGTCTTCTTCCACTGTTAAAGAGGCAGCAGCCTTGCCCTTTCCAAATTAAGACTCGCAATTCTGCTATTCAAACGGTGGGACTGTGTGTATCCCGGATATGACACATACCAGATGCTGCCAGCACCCTCCACCCCCACGCCTTGCAACGGGCCTGCCCTTTCCATCAGTGGCCTCAGTGGCTTACCGACAGTGTTTATGGGATCCGGTCAGGGTTTCGATCACAAAGCACTCGCCATCATTGAGACAGTATGCAAGGTCCTTGTCTCGGCAGGGTTTGAAGTGCTCGGATCGCTCTGTGGAATATGTCGTCGTATCTGTCAGGGAAAGCACAGGGGGAAACGCTGTCAGCAGTACATTCTGACACCAACAACTCCTGTCACTGGCTCTGGATCTCTGTATGGAGGCCTTCTCATGGGCTCTGACCTCTGGGACTCTAGACAGACAGCTCCAACCCTCCTTGGTACTGACCAAATGCAGCTGGCTGTAACCACTATATTCAATTGTCTTATTTCTCCACTAAATTTTATCTATTGGAGTCACTCTGGAGAAGCCCCATTTGTGGACAAGTAAACACTAAAAGCTGAATGATCCTAAGTCAAACACCCCAAATCCACCCTCATTAATTTCAGTTTTAACAAACATGTTGTATGAAGGATTGAAACAACATTCCCTTCCCTTTATTGCTGCCAAATATAATTAAACATCTGATCAATGTATATTGTGACTGTTCTGTGGAATCCAATGTCAGTTTGGGGGATTTTTTTTTCAGTTACAGCTATAATTGGCTAATAGCTAAGCCAATTATTCTTTCACTTTCTCCTTTTATTATGTAATTAAAATGCAAATGTTCTAAATTCTGAAACAGATTCTCAAATATGAAGAATGTTTCTGGTAAATATTTAACAGGACCAATTATTGCCATTTTTTAGCATATCTTAAACATGCATTCTTAAAATCATAATTACTTACATTTTCAAATTAAGTTATACATCAATATCTGCATCCCAAATATGAGAATAACAATAAATAAGTGCTATCTATAAGATACAGACTCTATTACCACATGTAGACATTGTTCCAATTACAGAGTTTTAAGCAACTATTAGCTCCAATTCCACCACAACATTCAACAAAAAATATACTTAAAAAGTCAAAGAAGAAAAAATTATTCAATGCTTAAGCTTTTAATTTCCTTTACAGAGATTTAGATTAATAATAATATTCAAGCATGGGATATTATACCAGCTTATTAACCGCTCTTGTTTTAATGTGTCTCCCAAATTCCATGTGTTGGAAAATTAATCCTCAAAATCATATGTTGATGATATTTGAAGATGGGGCCCTTTGGGAGGTAATCAGGAATGGATAAGGTCATCAGGGTGAGGCCCCCATGATGGAACTGTTGGCTGTTCAAGAAGAGAAAGAAGGACTGAGTTGACATGCTCTTACTCCCTATCCATGTGATGCCCTGCACTGCCTCAGGGCTTGCAGAGTCCTTGCCAGCAAGAATGCCCTCAGCAGATGCAGCCCCTTGACCTTAGACTTCCCAGCCTCCAAAACTGCAAAAAATAAATGTATTTTCTTTATAAATTACCTAGCTTCGGGTATTCAGTTAAAGCAATAGAAAATGGACTAAGACAGTAAATGAAGGTCACAATGAGCTTCTTCCCTGATTATCGTCACAACTGATGGTGAGCGAGCAGTTTAAAAGGAAACTCACCCCTGTCTCTCCCACATCTAAAAATCCTCATGGGCTCTCCTGTGGGAATAACTTTAAAATCCACAGTAGGGCAAACCAGGGCATGGGCCATCTATATGTTTATCTGTCTGGTCTCTTCTTGCACTCTAAAACTTTATGCAACTTAATTTTCAACTATCATTCTATTTCCCCAAAATACCAAGAACTGTCACACTGCTCCTTCTTCCCAGACCTTCATTCTTTGTTGAAGACACCCAGAAATCCTCAGAACTTAGATGATCTCATCTTGTGCCTCCCAGTGCCTCTTATCACTTTCATCACTGCATTCAACACTGCAAGTAATCCTTTCTTTGTTTTATCTGTTCCTTTCTTCTGTAAGGTCCTTGAGGGCCTGCATGGAGGCTTAATGAGAACTGGTGTTCAGAAAAATATCTCCAAAATCTCTGATCTCTCTAACATCAACAATTAAATGCTATAAATGAAAGCTATAATTAAAAACCTCATTATAATTTTATAAAAGTTAACGCATTTTGTACAGCAAAAAGTGAAGTATAATTTAACATTTATGTTATCATTTTAGTATACTTTTTATAATATTGATAAAGATTGCAACAGCAAGGCCTTCAGATTCACACAGACCCTCACACATATGTTACTCATATTCCACGAGCACTGAAATAAACCACTATTGGTATTGCAATGGGAACTTATGTTTTCCATTTCAAAATATCTGCTTGTTAATACTTTGGCACAAAATAAAGGCTCTGCAAAACACACACATTTTCCATCTTGCAGGAGATTCTCTACAGAAAAGATCTGTTATTCAAGACAGTACGTGATAAACAGTCACACAGAATCAATCTCTCTATGGGAAATATTTAAAATTCAAGAGCTCTGAGCAAAAAATTCAATATGAAACGGTGCACAGTTGACTGCTACTCTGGCTGCTGAAGTATATTAACTCATGATCAGTTAGTTAACTTTTCCTTTAATTTCTTATTATCCATTTATTGATATTCACTGATCATGCTTCTAAGAACAGCTTTCATTAACATAATCTACAGCATAAAAAGTGAGATCCTTATTTTATAATCAGTGGTTTTAACAAGCTACAGACTTCAAGTGCAATACAATGGCAAAGCAATTACAATCAATTAATTTCCATCTGACAACTGCTATCTCTAGTGGTTACCGCCCCATTCTACCAACTGATTTCTCCATCATGTTATCATCTATCAGCACATTACAGAGGATCAGAGACCCAAGTCAATGGCTCTGCAAAAGTCTGGGGTGGGAAAGCTCAGATATCAGGCTTAACATGTACTGAGGCTTTCCATTTCCATAGCTTAAAGAATCTCCAAATTAATTTAAAATGCACATGCTTAACCTTCACAATGACTTTACTGAATTCAAAGAAAACAACATTATTATAACTTTTTAATGACAATATAATAAACAATAATAAAATATTGGGTATGATCATTCTCTAAGTAAATAACTGCAATTATCAATACATTTGAAACCTTAGAATATACCTATGCATTTTACTATATATTATCTACATAGTATTACCCACCTGAAATCACAGAGGCATTGGCTAAGGTAAGTGTAATTCATCATGAGGTGAAATTTTATTCTTGAAAGTCATCATGCAAAATATGTGTATGGAAATATAGGCAAATTCTGGACCCTTAATAAACTCACGAGGTTGCTACGCTAACTCTAAGACCACCTACTTAGATTTTTCTTGACTAAATAATAAGCATACTGTGTCCAAGTCACTCTTACTGAGGTTTTCTATCACTTACAACCAAACAAAGCCTACTAAAGAGATGCTAATAATTTTGGATGATATCCTCCTACATTTGTACATCTGATTAAAGTTCATGTATGTATTCATACATCTATTTGTTTAATTTTCAACATACAAGATACACTACAAAACACATAAAATAGAACATAAATAAGAATGAGCCAAAAATAAAATGTAAGGTGCAATTCTTTATTTTCTTTCTGTGCCCTAAGGTGGCACAGTGTGCTCTAATGTATCCAGCTGAGTGTTTTATTCTGAAGAAGAAACACGGAACATTTGTGAGAATGAGAACATGGATAAGATCTAATGCCAAACTATAAAAGTTATGATCCTAAACAACCTTGGTGTATCTTAGTAATCAAAAACTCTCATCTGTGAGCAAATTCAACACTTTTGGAAGCTTGTTTATATTTTTTAAAGCTATGCCACTTTTAAGACAGTCCAATACACTAAGCTGGCTATGCTATATGGTACTATTTTGGCATGTACTTAATCAAACTTCTGTTTCTAGGAATGTAATTTGGTAAATAATTTGTTATAGAGCTATTGCCTTCAAAACAATTATATGGATGAAGGTTCCTGTAAGTAAACAGGAGGGGCCTTATGTTCCCGTGAATACCAATTTGTATTTCAAGGCTTTCTTTAAGTTCCCTTATTTCAGAGTGGGCCCTGCTATCAGACATCATTCTCTCCACATCCATCAGCTTCTGAAGCTCCCATCTGACTGTCTGACTGGACCATGAGCTTGCTTCCACTGAGCAGAGCAGGTCTTCACATCTTTAATCCTTGGGCTTATGGATGGCATGACACAGAGGCACGGAATAGGAATTTACAGAAGGGAGAAATTTTGGCCCAGCGCGGTGGCTCACATCCATAATCATAGCAATTTGGGAGGCCAAGATGGGTGGATCACCTGAGATCAGGAGTTGGAGACCAGCCTGGCCAACATGGTGAAACCCTGTCTCTACTAAAAATACAAAAAATTAGCCAGGCATGGTGGCAGGCACCTGTATTCACAGTTACTTGGAAGGCTGAGGCAGGAGAATCACTTGAACCCATGAGGTGGAGGTTGCAGCGGGCTGAGATTGCGCCATTGCACTCTAGCCTGGGTAACAAGAGCGAAACTCTGTCAAAAAAAAAAAAAAGGACAACTTTTTTATACAGCATTTTTCTAATTGTTTGTGTTAAAAAGTGGTATCACAGGCCAGGCACTCTGGCTCACACCTGTATCTCAGAACTACAGGAGCCAAGGTGGGAGGATCACTTGAACCCAGGAGTCTGTGACCAGCCTCGACAACATAGGGAGACCCCCATCTATACAAATAATAATAATAATAAATTATTTGGGCATGGTGGCGCACGCCTGTGACCCCAGCTACTCAGAAGGCTGAGGTGGGAGGATCACCTGAGCCCAGGAGGTCGAGGTTGCAGTGAGCTGGTATTGCGCCACTGCACCCCAGCCTGTTTGAGACAGGGCTGAGTGAGGCCCTGTCTCAAAACAGGAAAAAAAAAAAAAAAAAAAAAAAGTGTTATAGTGAACAAAAACTCTATTTTAAAAATTTCTGGGAAGCGAAGTAAGTTAGGATATAAGAAGGGCTCCAAAACAACTTAGAGAAAGAGCATGGAATTTCATTAAAGGAGGGAAAAATCAGCCCAGCAGCATAGAGGACAAACGAGAAGAAAACAAAGCAAAACAATTGGAAAGGATTTTCCAAAAAAAGAGGGACAGGAAGAATAAAGGAGTGTTAGGATTAAGATGAGCAGAGATGGTGCTAAGAAAGGGTTTTCCAAGCACCATGACCAAGGTCTAGGGATCAGTTTAAGGAAGCACTGCTGCTGGCATTAGAAATAGTACCCCATCACTAGGGGCCACAGGGACTGTGCAATTATCTGGATCACTCATCTGGCACTTGTTACATGTAGTTTAATGTGTTTTCTTATTTTTTTTATACGTTTCGGTCTCTATCCCCAGGGAGGTCAGGGAGAGTGCTTTGCTTTTAAGTTTTCTATTCTTTCCACATCACGTAGCATACATAGTAAGTAATCAGTAGAGTAATTAAATGCACAGTGAGAGGTGGTGGTGGTGAATTCATTAAAGGCAAAATGGGAAGAAAATGTTGGGTTGGAAGACAGAAATCCCCACAGATTTTGCAATGAAAGTTAATTTATTAATGAATTGAAACGATGACTGGTTTCTTCCTTAACTACTGAGTTGAACCTGAATATTAACTACTGAGTTGAACCTGAATATTACTTACGGAGGTTTCTATGTTGCTGGCACAATGCAGCACACTGTGCTTATCTTTCCCCTCTTGATGGACATCCCAAAAGCAGCTCAGAATTTGCTTATAGAAAATGGAATTCTTGCTCTTCCTCAAGAAACTTGCACTTTAGCACTCCCAGTCTCAGTTAATGTGACACCACTGATCCCATTGTCCAGGCCAGAAACCTAGTAGCCATTCTCTTGATCCTGCATGCGCAATCACCAAATACTCTTGATTCTAACTCCTAAATATCTTTTGAATTTACCACTTCTTTCCATCTCATCTTACCTGGAATATTCCTTACAGACCTGTCTGTGCACATGCTACCCACCCTAAAATGAATTATTTACAATAAAATCTGTTTCCATAATATATGCAAAAAAAAAAAAAAACCACATAGCAATCAGTCACTGCTGTTCAAAAAATCATGTCATGGCTTATCTCGGCTCTTACGATGAAGACCAAAATCTTCCCAAGCCCTCTGTGTCTCTCACTCCTCATCTCATACATAATAACTGCCCCCCACTTTCAATACACAAGCCACAATTGTTTAAATTTCCCATGTCCCCTCAGGCCTTTGCACATGCTTTGCTCTGCAGGTTGCCACCTTGCACCCCCACAATCCCACAGTTGTCCACAGATTTCATCCAGATAACATATTATAAGACAGAGAAAACTTTAGCAAAAAATAAATTCCCATTGGATATTTCTGTTCTCTACAAAACTCTCTATAGTGTTGCCCAGTAAAGGCTTTCTTCTCTGGGGCCTTTTCACCATTTAGGTCACAGAACTACTCCCCACTCTTTCTGCTCTTTGTCTCTCATTCTTTCAATCATAGCTATGACTGCTACTCATAGTCTTGAGCCACAGATAACACACACGTCTGGGAGGCCTAGCCTTTGAGATGATTTATCAAAGTCTAACAAAAATGAGCCTCACCCTATGGGATATTCTCAAACTTGCTACTAGAAATAATAACCTTCATTATCTCCCTTTGTTTATCCCATAAACCGTATGCTTCTGGAAGATACAAACATGTTATATATCTGTGTATGTGTCTGTATGTGTGTGTGTGTTTGTGCATGTATGTGGGTATATGTATTCCTAATAACTAACTCATCACCTGCTATCCAATAGTTATTCAGTAAATACTTATTGAATGAATATCCTCACACTAACCCTAAATTATGGACTTTTAACTATTGTAGATGAGATTTTCAATATATCCATAGTGACTTCATTCCTTCTAACAAAACAGCCTCCCTGGGAGTTTGAACTACTCTATAGGCTAAGAAAAGCAGGAGTACATTAAGGATTGAATGCTATGTAGAAGTGAAGACAATTGCTAACTGAGTGGCCTACAAATCCAATATGCTGGAGGACGGTAGTAGGGCTTGCCATTGACAGAGAAGTAGCAGACACTTACCTCACATAGGTCAGAAGTGCATACTTATACATTTTTGTGGGTGCAGAGTGGCCTTGTCTCTGCCTTGTTCCATAAAAGATCATGAAGTAGGTTGGTTGACTATTGTGTGTGCTTATTTAGAAATATTATGATCTGGATTACAGCAGGGTCATTTTCCACTTGCTCAAATTTTACCTTACTTACACGTGAGCAGTGAGTAGCATGTATGTAGAAACCCCAATACCTTCTGCTAAGGAAAGAACATGGCCATTTGTAGATGGATCTTAAACTTCAAAGAGAACTGAGTCTATGCTGGTGGGGCCCTTTTCATGCTTCTCCAGCACAGAGAGACCTCAGCTAACAGACTGATTCTATCTTCTGAGTCAGGTGCACTGGGAAACTTGAAAGAGATGCCACCAAAGACTTGAATTACATGGCTCTCCTTCTTCTGACATCATGTTTCCTAAGCAATTTTCTAATTGAAATGTGATTTCCAGCATTAATCTGGATGCTATCCACGGTGGGGATGGTGTATCTTTCTCTACAACAACTTTATTTCCCAAATGTGTCTTTATATGAACTTCTAGTGGATAAAAGTTTCTCACACATAGAAACAGCCTCCTGTCTGGTCTCCCTGTACCTCACACTGGCTTCTACTACTTACTAAGAGTTAACACGGCCGGGTGCGAGTGGCTCACGCCTGTAATCCCAGCACTTTGGGAGGCCGAGGCGGGCAGATCTCGAGGTCAGGAGATCAAGACCATCCTGGCTAACACGGTGAAACCCCGTTTCTACCAAAAATACACAAAAAAATTAGCCAGGCATGGTGGCGGGCGCCTGTAGTCCCAGCTACTTGGGAGGCTGAGGCAGGAGAATGGCGTGAACCCAGGAGGCGGAGCTTGCAGTGAGCCGAGATCGCGCCACAGCACTCCAGCCTGGGTGACAGCACAAGACTCCATCTAAAAAAAAAAAAAAGAAGAGTTAACACAACCACCTCAATAGCACATGTGAGCTCTCCATATTGTGGCTAAAACTCCATTGAGTCTTCATTACACGAGATTGATAAACCCTTTCTAGCTTATTCAGCAATTCCCCACACAAGCCATCAGAGAAGGCTCCCTGGGACTGCACTTCCTAGTCTCTTTCCCACATTTCTTGAGCTCCAATAATACTGGAACACATATGGCGACTTTTAGACTCTATGAATTTAAATGTGCTATTCCCTTTACCTCATACACAGCTACATGTATGTCTCTAACAAATAATTTCTAATTGTTTCAGATTTATGTGAAATGTAAGCACATACTGAAGTTTTCCCTAGCTCCTCAGGTTAGAAGTGGCTGAAAGTATTCAGAGCTCCAGGCACACTTCCTGTTCATCTCTAATACTGTGATGATCACTCTGAATTGCAGTTTAACTGCTTACATGTTCCTTCTCCATACTCTTCTCAAACTAGATTATGGGATCTTAGGGACCTAGCAAGTCAGTCTCTGTATCACCATAATTTATTACAAAGCCTGACACACAATAAGTGCTTAATGCACGCTTTCTGTGAATAAGTATCATAATGGTTGTAACAATGAAAATTATACCAACATCATAGGCATACACAAAACTTCAGAATGATAAGGTAACAGCACCTTTTTGCTCCAAATCTCTGATAATGTTTTTGGAAATGAATGATGAAAAACATATCTATACTTTTGTGAACATACCTGAGGCTAATAATCAAGGTTTTTTTATTTTTTCATGTTCGTGGGTTCCGTGTAAAAAAGCAGTTTTTTTGAGGAGCCAAGATGGCCGAATAGGAACAGCCCTGGTCTACAGCTCCCAGCGTGAGCGACGCAGAAGACGGTGATTTCCGCATTTCCATCTGAGGTACCGGGTTCATCTCACTAGGGAGTGCCAGACAGTGGGCGCAGGTCAGTGGGTGCGCGCACCGTGCGCGAGCCGAAGCAGGGCGAGGCATTGCCTCACTTGGGAAGCGCAAGGGGTCAGGGAGTTCCGTTTCTGAGTCAAAGAAAGGGGTGACAGACACACCTGGAAAATCGGGTCACTCCCACCCGAATACTGCGCTTTTCCGACTGGCTTAAAAAACGGCACACCAAGAGATTCTATCCCGCACCTGGCTCGGAGGGTCCTACGCCCACGGAGTCTCCCTGATTGCTAGCACAGCAGTCTGAGATCAAACTGCAAGGCGGCAGCGAGGTTGGGGGAGGGGCGCCCGCCATTGCCCAGGCTTGCTTAGGTAAACAAAGCAGCCGGGAAGCTCGAACTGGGTGGAGCCCACCACAGCTCAAGGAGGCCTGCCTGCCTCTGTAGGCTCCACCTCTGAGGGCAGGGCACAGACAAACAAAAAGACAGCAGTAACCTCTGCAGACTTAAATGTCCCTGTCTGACAGCTTTGAAGAGAGCAGTGGTTCTCCCAGTACGCAGCTGGAGATCTGAGAACGGGCAGACTGCCTCCTCAAGTGGGTCCCTGACCCCTGACCCCCGAGCAGCCTAACTGGGAGGCACCCCCCAGCAGGGGCACACTGACATCTCACAAGGCAGGGTATTCCAACAGACCTGCAGCTGAGGGTCCCGTCTGTTAGAAGGAAAACTAACAAACAGAAAGGACATCCACACCAAAAACCCATCTGTACATCACCATCATCAAAGACCAAAAGTAGATAAAACCACAAAGATGGGGAAAAAACAGAACAGAAAAACTGGAAACTCTAAAAAGCAGAGCGCCTCTCCTCCTCCAAAGGAACGCAGTTCCTCACCAGCAACGAAACAAAGCTGGATGGAGAATGACTTTGACGAGCTGAGAGAAGGCTTTAGAAGATCAAATTACTCTGAGCTACAGGAGGACATTCAAACCAAAGGCAAAGAAGTTGAAAACTTTGAAAAAAATTTAGAAGAATGTATAACTAGAATAACCAATACAGAGAAGTGCTTAAAGGAGCTGATGGAGCTGAAAACCAAGGCTCGAGAACTACGTGAAGAATGCAGAAGCCTCAGGAGCCGATGCAATCAACTGGAAGAAAGGGTATCAGCAATGGAAGATGAAATGAATGAAATGAAGTGAGATGGGAAGTTTAGAGAAAAAAGAATAAAAAGAAATGAGCAAAGCCTCCAAGAAATATGGGACTATGTGAAAAGACCAAATCTACGTCTGATTGGTGTACCTGAAAGTGATGGGGAGAATGGAGCCAAGTTGGAAAACACTCTGCAGGATATTATCCAGGAGAACTTCCCCAATCTAGCAAGGCAGGCCAACGTTCAGATTCAGGAAATACAGAGAACGCCACAAAGATACTCCTCGAGAAGAGCAACTCCAAGACACATAATTGTCAGATTCACCAAAGTTGAAATGAAGGAAAAAATGTTAAGAGCAGCCAGAGAGAAAGGTCAGGTTACCCTCAAAGGGAAGCCCATCAGACTAACAGCGGATCTCTCAGCAGAAACCCTACAAGCCAGAAGAGAGTGGGGGCCAATATTCAACATTCTTAAAGAAAAGAATTTTCAACCCAGAATTTCATATCCAGCCAAACTAAGCTTCATAAGTGAAGGAGAAATAAAATACTTTACAGACAAGCAAATGCTGAGAGATTTTGTCACCACCAGGCCTGCCCTAAAAGAGCTGTTGAAGGAAGCGCTAAACATGGAAAAGAACAACAGGTACCAGCTGCTGCAAAATCATGCCAAAATGTAAAGACCATCGAGGCTAGGAAGAAACTGCATCAACTAACGAGCAAAATAACCAGCTAACATCATAATGACAGGATCAAATTCACACATAACAATATTAACTTTAAATGTAAATGGACTAAATGCTCCAATTAAAAGACACAGACTGGGAAATTGGATAAAGAGTCAAGACCCATCAGTGTGCTGTATTCAGGAAACCCATCTCACATGCAGAGACACACATAGGCTCAAAATAAAAGGATGGAGGAAGATCTACCAAGCAAATGGAAAACAAAAAAAGGCAGGGGTTGCAATCCTAGTCTCTGATAAAACAGACTTTAAACCAGCAAAGATCAAAAGAGACAAAGAAGGCCATTACATAATGGTAAAGGGATCAATTCAACAAGAAGAGCTAACTATCCTAAATATATATGCACCCAATACAGGAGCATTCAGATTCATAAAGCAAGTCCTGAGTGACCTACAAAGAGACTTAGACTCCCACACAATAATAATGGGAGACTTTAACACCCCACTGTCAACATTAGACAGACCAATGAGACAGAAAGTCAACAAGGATACCCAGGAATTGAACTCAGCTCTGCACCAAGCAGACCTAATAGACATCTACAGAACTCTCCACCCCAAATCAACAGAATATACATTTTTTTCAGCACCACACCACACCTATTCCAAAATTGACCACATAGTTGGAAGTAAAGCTCTCCTCAGCAAATGTAAAAGAACAGAGATTATAACAAACTGTCTCTCAGACCACAGTGCAATCAAACTAGAACTCAGGATTAAGAATGTCACTCAAAACCACTCAACTTCATGGAAACTGAACAACCTGCTCCTGAATGACTACTGGGTACATAACGAAATGAAGGCAGAAATAAAGATGTTCTTTGAAACCAACGAGAACAAAGACACAACATACCAGAATCTCTGGGATGTATTCAAAGCAGTGTGTAGAGGGAAATTTATAGCACTAAATGCCCACAAGAGAAAGCAGGAAAGATCCAAAATTGACACCCTAACATCACAATTAAAAGAACTAGAAAAGCAAGAGCAAACACATTCAAAAGCTAGCAGAAGGCAAGAAATAACTAAAATCAGAGCAGAACTGAAGGAAATAGAGACACAAAAAACCCTTCAAAAAATTAATGAATCCAGGAGCTGGTTTTTTTGAAAGGATCAACAAAATTGATAGACAGCTAGCAAGACTAATAAAGAAAAAAAGAGAGAAGAATCAAATAGACGCAATAAAAAATGATAAAGGGGATATCACCACCGATCCCACAGAAATACAAACTACCATCACAGAATACTACAAACACCTCTACACAAATAAACTAGAAAATCTAGAAGAAATGGATAAATTCCTTGACACATACACTCTCCCAAGACTAAACCAGGAAGAAATTGAATCTCTGAATAGACCAATAACAGGATCTGAAATTGTGGCAATAATCAATAGCTTACCAACCAAAAAGAGTCCAGGACCAGATGGATTCACAGCCGAATTCTACCAGAGGTACAAGGAGGAACTGGTACCATTCCTTCTGAAACTATTCCAATCAATAGAAAAAGAGGGAATCCTCCCTAACTCGTTTTATGAGGCCAGCATCATTCTGATACCAAAGCTGGGCAGAGACTCAACCAAAAAAGAGAATTTTAGACCAATATCCTTGATGAACATTGATGCAAAAATCCTCAATAAAATACTGGCAAACCGAATCCAGCAGCACATCAAAAAGCTTATCCACCATGATCAAGTGGGCTTCATCCCTGGGATGCAAGGCTGGTTCAATATACGCAAATCAATAAATATAATCGAGCATATAAACAGAGCCAAAGACAAAAACCACATGATTATCTCAATAGATGCAGAAAAAGCCTTTGACAAAATTCAACAACCCTTCATGCTAAAAACTCTCAATAAATTAGATATTGATGGGACGTATTTCAAAATAATAAGAGCTATCTATGACAAACCCACAGCCAATATCATACTGAATGGGCAAAAACTGGAAGCATTCCCTTTGAAAACTGGCACAAGACAGGGATGCCCTCTCTCACCACTCCTATTCAACATAGTGTTGGAAGTTCTGGCCAGGGCAATTAGGCAGGAGAAGGAAATAAAGGGTATTCAATTAGGAAAAGAGGAAATCAAATTGTCCCTGTTTGCAGATGACATGATTGTATATCTAGAAAACCGCATTGTCTCAGCCCAAAATCTGCTTAAGCTGATAAGCAACTTCAGCAAAGTCTCAGGATACAAAATCAATGTACAAAAATCACAAGCATTCTTATACACCAACAACAGATAAACAGAGAGCCAAATCATGAGTGAACTCCCATTCACAATTGCTTCAAAGAGAATAAAATACCTAGGAATCCAACTTACAAGGGATGTGAAGGACCTCTTCAAGGATAACTACAAACCACTGCTCAAGGAAATAAAAGAGGATACAAAGAAATGGAAGAACATTCCATGCTCATGGGTAGGAAGAATCAATATCGTGAAAATGGCCATACTGCCCAAGGTAATTTATAGATTCAATGCCATCCCCATCAAGCTACCAATGACTTTCTTCACAGAATTGGAAAAAACTACTTTAAAGTTCATATGGAACCAAAAAAGAGCCCACATTGCCAAGTCAATCCTAAGCCAAAAGAACAAAGCTGGAGGCATCACACTACCTGACTTCAAACTATACTACAAGGCTATAGTAACCAAAACAGCATGGTACTGGTACCAAAACAGAGATATAGATCAATGGAACAGAACAGAGCCCTCAGAAATAATGTCACATATCTACAACTATCTGATCTTTGACAAACCTGACAAAAACAAGCAATGGAGAAAGGATTCCCTATTTAATAAATGGTGTTTGGAAAACTAGCTAGCCATATGTAGAAAGCTGAAACTGGATCCCTTCCTTACACCTTATACAAAAATGAATTCAAGATGGATTAAAGACTTAAACGTTAGACCTAAAACCATAAAAACCCTAGAAGAAAACCTAGGCATTACCATTCAGGACATAGACATGGGCAAGGACTTCATGTCTAAAACACCAAAAGCAATGGCAACAAAAGCCAAAATTGACAAATGGGATCTAATTAAACTAAAGAGCTTCTGCACAGCAAAAGAAACTACCATCAGAGTGAACAGGCAACCTACAAAATGGGAGAAAATTTTCGCAACCTACTCATCTGACAAAGGGCTAATATCCAGAATCTACAATGAACTCAAACAAATTTACAAGAAAAAAACAAACAACCCCATCAAAAAGTGGGCGAAGGACATGAACGGACACTTCTCAAAAGAAGACATTTATGCAGCCAAAAAACACATGAAAAATGCTCATCATCACTGGCCATCAGAGAAATGCAAATCAAAACCACAATGAGATACCATCTCACACCAGTTAGAATGGCAATCATTAAAAAGTCAGGAAACAACAGGTGCTGGAGAGGATGTGGAGAAATAGGAACACTTTTACACTGTTGGTGGGACTGTAAACTAGTTCAACCATTGTGGAAGTCAGTGTGGCGATTCCTCAGGGATCTAGAACTGGAAATACCATTTGACCTAGCCATCCCATTACTGGGTATATACCCAAAGGACTACAAATCATGCTGCTATAAAGACACATGCATACGTATGTTTATTGCGGCATTATTCACAATAGCAAAGACTTGGAACCAACCCAAATGTCCAACAATGATACACTGGATTAAGAAAATGTGGCACATATACACCATGGAATACTATGTAGCCGTAAAAAATGATGAGTTCATGTCCTTTGTAGGGACATGGATGAAAGTGGAAATCATCATTCTCAGTAAACTATCGCAAGAACAAAAAACCAAACACCGCATATTCTCACTCATAGGTGGGAATTGAACAATGAGATCACGTGGACACAGGAAGGGGAATATCATACTCTGGGGACTGTTGTGGGGTGTGGGGAGCGGGGAGGGATAGCATTGGGAGATATACCTAATGCTACATGACGAGTTAGTGGGTGCAGCACACCAGCATGGCACATGTATACGTATGTAACTAACCTGCACAATGTGCACATGTACCCTAAAACTTAAAGTATAATAAAAAAAAAAGAAAGAAAAAAAAAGCAGTTTTTTTAAATGAGAATTTATGTGTTTCTTTATTAAAGAATGTTCTCCCACATCCAAATTTCTTGTCTGGAAAGTATGTATGGATGTGATGTTCAAAATATTTAATAAGTCATATGGAAATTACAGGACTAATCAGAATAAATCTGTACGGTCATAAGAGAGAAGCAGCGTCCTGGAGGTCCCTCTGGGGCTAAATGTTAACTCTTGTTTCTGGATTAACACTGAGGAGATTTGGGAACCCAGGCATCCAGGGTGGCATTGGGGGGACAATTTTCAGGGGGGATTTGAGCAGTGGTTAGTTACCATATAGAATAAAATTATTGTAATTTCTTAACAGTCAATACAATTAGTGAAGTGCACTGCTGTACATCAGGTCTACTCTCATGGTATAAATCTGTCTTTAGTATAATGTGAAGACAGATATGCGATGCCTCCAGCTTTGTTCTGGTTGTTTAGGATTGCTTTGGCTATTAAAGCCCTTTTTTGGTTCCACATGAATTTTAGGATTTTTTTTCTAATCCTGTGAAAAATGACATTGGTAATGTAATCAAATGGTGTTGAATATGTACATTGCTTTGGGCAGTACAGTCATTTTAATGATATTGATTCTTCAAATCCATGAGCATGGGGTGATTTTCCATTTGTTTGTGTCATCTATGATTAGTGTTTTGTAGTTTTGCTTGTAGAGATCTTTCACTTCCTTCATTAAATGTATGCCTATGTATTTTTTTGTAACGATTGTAAATAGGATTGAGTTCTTGTTTTGGTTCTCAGCTTGATTATTATTATTGGTGTTTAGCAAGGCCACAGATTTTTCCTTGTTGATTTTGTATCCTGAAACTTTACTGAAATCATTTATCAGTTCTCCATTCTGTACCATTTATCTATATGTCTATTTTTTTATTCCAGTACCATACTGTTTTGGTTACTACAGCATTGAGAGCCCTAGATTTGATAAAGCCACATACCTATGATGAACTGACCTTTGACTAAGTCAACAAAAATATACACTGGGGAGAGGACACTCTATTCAATAAATGGTTCTGGAAAAATTGGATAACCATATGCAGACGGATGAAACCATACCCATATCTCTTACCATATACAAAAATTAACTCAAGATGAAATTAAAGACTGAAATGTAAAACTTGAAACTGTAAAAATCCTTGAAGAAAACCTAGGAAAAACTTTACTGAACACTGGCCTAGGCAAAGAATTTATGACCAAGTCCTCAAAAACAAACATCATAAAAACAAAAATATATAAGTGAGAGTTAATTAAACTAAAAAGCTTCTACAAAGCAAAATAAATGATAAATACAGTAAACAGACAGCCTACAGAATGGGAAAATATTTGCAATCTATGCATCTGACAAAGGGCTAATATCCGGAATCTACAAGGAACTCAAACAGCTCAACAAGAAAAATAAATAACTCTATTAAAAAGGGGGCAAAACACATAAACACACACTTTTTAAAAGAAAACATACAAGCAACCAATAAACATATTAAAAACATTCTCAACATCATTAATCATCAGATAAATGCAAATTAAAACCACAGTGAGATACCATCTTACACCAGCCAGAATGGTTAATATTAAAAAGTCAAAAAACAACAGATATTGTGAGGATGTGGAGAAAAGGGAATGCTAATACGTTGTTGATGGCAGTGTAAATTGCTACAACCTTTATGGAAAACAGTATGGAGATTTATCCAAGAACTAAAAATAGAACTACCATTTGATCCAGTAATCCCACTTCTGAGTATATACCCAATGGGAAAGAAATCATTATTATATCAAAAAGATATCTGTACTTGCATATTTTTGGCAGCACTATTCACAATAGCAAAGATATAGAATCACCTTAAGTATTCATTAATGGATGATTAATGAGTGTGTGTGTGTGCATATATATAACATAAATACCATATTCCATATATATATATCATATAGTATGATATATATACATACACACACCAGAAATACCATATACCATAAATACCATAAAGTACTACTCAGCCATAAAAAAGAAATCATACCATTTTATGAAATCTAGGACTCTCAAGGCTTAGTAACCAAAACACCATGGTGCTGGTATAAAAATAGATACAGATCAATAGAACAGGAACTGGAGGCAACGATCCTAAGTAAAATAACTCAGAAACAGAGTAAACTCAGAAACAGAGTAAAATACTTTATATTCTCACTTATAACCAGGAGCTAAACAAAGGGTACACATGGACATTTAGTGGTAAATAATATACACTGGAGACTACAAAAGATGGGAAGGTGGGAGGAAGGAAAGGGTTGAAAAACTACCTATTGGGTTACCAAATCACTTTTTGGGTGATGAGTACACTAAAAGCCCAGACTCTAACGCTATGTAAAATATTAATGTAAGAAATCTGTACTTGTACTCCCTAAATCTATAAAAATAAAACAGATATATACATATAAAATAAATAAATCTGTTCTTAGGACTTATAGTTTTAACAATTCAAACCAACAACCTTGGGATAAGAGAAACTTTAGAAGTCAGCATGCAGTAATAATGCTTGGAATAAACCTATTAATCCAATATAAATATCATTTTCATTTTACAGAAATGAAACTGAACTATGGAGGGACCACACAACAGTCTTATTATTTCACACCTCATCCATAGAAAGGCAAGGAAAAGTCAAAAAAGCCCAACTCCATAAAGAAATCTCTTTAATATTCTGCATTTCCAACCGTGCTGAGTTTTGGACTCTTTTAAGCTACACATATGCAAGCTTCTCCTTGCCAAACACTCTATTTATCACTCCAGAATAAGTAAATAAGAGCAATTAGAAGGCATCGTTTTTTAGTAGTTCATTCATCTTGGAACCCATCTACCCAACACCAATGTTAAAAATATTTTTTATTTTTAAATTTTGGGCATACATAGCTGGTGTATATATTCATGGGGTACATGAGATGCTTTGATACAGGTATGCAATGCATAATAATCACAACATGGAAAATGGGGTATCCATCTCCTCAAGCATTTATACTTTGTGTTACAAACAATCCTATTACACTCTTAGTTATTTAAAGTGTACAATTATTATTGACTATAGTCACCCTGTTGTGCTATCAAAAAATAGGTCTTACATTTTCTAATTTTTTTTTGTACCCATTAACCATAAAAATAGGGAACGTTTCACAAATTTGCATGTCATCCTTGTGCACGGCCATGACAACTTTCTCTGTATTGTTCCCATTTTAGTATATGTGCTGCCAAAGCAAGCACCCAACACCCATTTTTTTGAGCACACACTAAAATACTGTGCAAAGTAGATATTGGGGGGAGGTAGGTGAGTGCAAAAATAAAGACAGTGCTTGACTCAGGGAATTTCTATTACTTTCTCTGTCACATTTTCTTTTCATTCCATCATGGCTTTGAATTAATGTCTAAACATTGACTTGATTCTTCAGATTCCTTCATGAAAATGAATATCACTCACTTTAATTACTTAAAAATCTTATTTTTCCCCTTAATAGTTTTAGCTCTTATTTGAATCATTTATTCTAGTGTTCAGATATCCAAGCACTTTCTTCTCCACCTGGGGTATAAAGAAAGGATAGATATTGCAACACAAGAGCCTGGCTTGAAGCCCTGCTTATGCATTGGCTAACTATGTCAAGTGTCATGGCAGAAGTAGAAAAAATATTCTAGGAGAGTTCGTGGAGAGGGCACTTTTGTCAGTAGTGGTGTGGTGGCTCCGCATTTTATGCAAGAAAGACTTAGAGAGTGGGTTGAGGTGGGAACTAGACATATCTTAATGCAGCCTTTGCATAGGAAATATGTTTTTACTTCTATGGTGTTCTCATTTGGATGGGTTGAGAAACTGAGATTATAACAGGACTAACTCTAACACTAGCCCCAACCACCACCCCCATATTCTTAGTATCTTGTCTGCAAATCACGGTGCAAACAAAGTCAATCAAGAGAAGTTTCCTCCTCAAAAAATAAAGCCAACTGTCAAAGACACTTTCGAGAGTATTCACTCTGGCTGACCGGAAAAGTTATGAAAATTATATTAAAGTACTTTAAAAGATGGATAGTTGTTTAAGTAAAAGGATGATATCTTTAAGCTGTCTTATATCTCCAGCCCCCACCCTAGATGGCATATTGATAGCTGCACGACAGAAGATAAAGAAATGCTAAATCAAGTGGAAAGGATACAACTTCCTAGACATGGCAGATGAGAAGTGCACACAAGCAGGAGAGGAAATGCAGGCATGCAACCAAAGTGTTAAGGACCAAGAAGACAAAAAGGGACTCCAGAAATATATTAAAAGTCAAAAGAGCACTTGGAAGCTTAAGACATTTGAACCTCAACATGTTCAAACTTTAAAAAAAATAGAAATTTAAAAATTTTTAAACAGAGAGAAAGTTACTGAAGTGGTTTGGCTGTATCCCCACCCAAATCTCATCTTGAATCGTAATCCCCATAATCTCCGTGTGTGGAAAGGACCTGGTGGGAGGTAACCAAATCATGGAGGCAGCCTCCCCCATGCTGTTCTCGTGATAGTGAGTGAGTTCTCACAAGATCTGATGGTTTTATAAGCCTCTGGCGTTTCTTCTGCTGGCCCTCATTCTCTCCCCTGCTGCCCTGTGAAGAGGTGCCTTCCGCCGTGATTGTAAGTTTCCTGAGGACTCCCCAGCTATGTGGAACTATGAGTCAATTAAACCTCTTTTCTTCTTAAATTACCCAGTCTCAGGTATTTCTTCATAACTGTGTGAGAACAGACTAATACAGTTACTGACTAAAAATACAGGAAATCAAGAATGTAGCATTAACCCCTAAAATGTCACATTTGTTTAAAACAGGCAACTAGAATGTATTCAGTCATTAAGTCATTTATCATTTTGAAAACATCCAGGTCTTAGGGATACGCAATCAGATTATAAAACAATTACATTGTTCTCCAAATCTTCTTGCATAAAGTACCCAATACATCAATCATTTCACTTATTTGAAGAAGTATCATCCTGTGCACCCCTGTTCATCTTCTTCATGGCAGTGTTGGTGTCATCTTAAGCAAAAGTGGGAAAGGCTTGTTTCTTGGTACTACATTGGGACTCTGTGTTTTAGCCCCAGATGAAATTTAGTGTGCCGAGTTCTAAATATCCAACTTAATGCTTTGTAATGTACTTTTGCAGATCTGGGTTTGCATTACTACTTTACTACTTGCTGGCATTTTGAACATGAATAAGGTGAATATATGAAAGCATATAATTCATGGGGTTTCACGAAGCCTAAATGAGAAAAGAAGACAATGTGTGGTAGTGGGATTTTCACAGTGCTTGGCACCAAGCACATCTTTCCTTTCTTTACTAAATAAGTCAGCACATATTTATTGAGCATCAACTGTATATCTAATTCTGTAATATCGCTGTATGATGCCAATTAAAGTCATTTATTTAACAATCTATCATGGAGCATCTAATATAAGACTGCTGAGTACTGTATTGATTCCTGGGGTGGAAAGTGAGGAAATCAGTTCAGATAATAAGGCAAGTCTGCCTCCCAGGAGCAACAAGGCATGCGTGACTGTCATGTACCCAATCTACACTCTGCTAAGTGCTGGGCAGGGGAGAGTGGTGTCTAGGTGGCTAATATACTCATAATGTTTTCTAACTTCTAAGCACTTGTTTAGAGATACTGGATGTGGTTATAGCATTTTAAAAGATAAATAAGCCCTCCACAGGGCGGTTCATGGATTTCTCATGTGCTATTACATAGACTAGATCAATAAAGAGTGGGATGCCCCCATCAATCACTAGTAAGGTGATGATCTCACAAGTGCACTACCTACAACTTTACTATCATATTGACATCAGAAAGAGAATTGATCCTTTTCTGCATTATTCCATAAAAGTTTTTTATGTTTTTACTTTTTTCCAGAGAGGAGAGGGGCACACTCATGCTTTATTCAGTCATGTTTGTCTTATTCATCTCTGTAAGATGTACATCTTCATATCGATGCACATGAAGCATATGTACATGGGACAAAGGGAAGGCGTGCGGATCTTATTTGACTCTTGGCTTAACCATAGCCAACTATTTTCTTTAGCAAGTTCTTAATTTATCTGAATCTTATTTATGTAATATGATTAAAATATTACTTATTATTCATTTTTATGAGTAAAGACCCCAATGCATTATAGACATGCAGTCAATATAAATTTTATCATACATCTTCTCTTCTTTAAAATTTTCCTTTCTATTTGAATAGATATTTTTCCAAAGAATATATACATACATCCAACAAACACATAAAAAGATGTCCAAAATTGTTAGTGTTTATGTAAAGTAAAATCAAAACTACAATGAAATATCACTTCACACCCATTAGAACGGACAACAATGAGTATTGGCAGGAATGTGGAGAAATAGGAATAGTCATACAATGCTGGGGAAAGTAAAATGGTGCAGCTTCTGCAGAAAAGTTTGATCATTCCTCAAGATGTTAGAGTTACCATATGACCAAGCAATTCCACTCCTCACATAAGAGAATTGAAAGCAAATGTTCATACTTGTTTATGAGTGTTTATAGAAATATTACACATAGTAGCCAAAAAGTGGAAGCAACTCCATTGTCCACCAAGTGATGAATAAACAAAAAAGTTGGTACATCTATCCAATGGAATATTATTCACTAATAAAAGACATTATTTACTGATGCATGCTACAGCATGGGTGAACCTTGAAAGCATTATGCTCAGTGAAAGACAGTAGGCATAAGTCTGCATATTACATAATTCCATTTATAGGAAATGTCCAGAATAGGCAAATCCACAGAGACAGAAAATAAATTAGTGGTTGCCAGAAGCAGGAAAGAAGAGTGAAACTTTATGTTCCTATCTGTTAACCTTGGTTTCCTATAAACCCTTTTTTATGTTTCCAGTTTAGTAAGAAGTAAAAGGGGACAAATATGGCTCAGTAGTTAAGATTCTGCAAATAAATAACAGTCAATTTCATGTTATGCCTTTGCAAACCATTTGAGAAAAAAAAAGAAAAACCCTCACATACCTCCCAAAAACTCTTTGCCTTATTGACAAACTTGACTCCCAGACCTTTGTTTCAGAACAAATATTATTGAGAAAATTGGTCCATTCTCTGTGATTGTTGGAAAGCAATTAAAACAAAAATCAAAGAGCTATAACCATCTGTTCACTTCCAATTCTTATCTCTCCATTTGCAGAAATAACAGCTATGTATTATACTGCTTGTGGGTCATTCAATATTTTGAGTATGAAAGATAACGGTTGTCTTTAGCCTGGCCAACATGGCAAAACCCCATCTCCAGTAAAGATACAAAAATTAGCCAGATGTGGTGGTGGGCACCTGTAATCCCAGCTACTTGGGAGGCTGAGGCAGGAGAATCGCTTGAACCAGGGAGGCAGAAGTTGCAGTGACCCAAGACTGCACCACTGCATTCCAGCCTGGGCAACAGAACAAGACTGTAAAAAAAAAAAAAAAAGAAAAGAAAAGAAAGAAAGAAAGATAATGGTGTGGTGGTCTTTGAAAGTTATTGCTGAGAAAATTCGGAATTTTTAACAGAAATTCCAATTTAAGCACAGATAGTAGGCTAGAAATCTACTATCTAACTTTGCCTCTCTGATGGTGGAAGCCATGAGCTCCCCTCCTTTTGTGTTGTCTGAAGCTGTTTCCCAATCTGCACTACAAAGTAGGAAAACAGTCATTTTCTTTGATATCTTAAAGTTTGTGAAGAGGGTGCACTCTCTGTCCCTTCCACACTGCACTCCATATCTCCTTTTCTCTTCTACTGGTGTGACTTTTTTTTTTGGTACACACCTAGTAAAATGAGCTTTTGCCCATCCTCCCTGGCGAACCCTTCACAAAGAATCAGATTTAGTTCATGTAGAGAAGTGTTCAGTATACTATGGTCCCAGGCCCAAATCTGGTCTGCCACATGTTTTTGTAATTACAATTTTGCTGAAACAGTGCTGAGCTCATCTGTTTATGCATTGTCTATGGCTTTTTGAGCTGCAATGAGTTGAGTAGTTGTGAAAGAAACCATCTGACCCATAAACTCTAAAATATTTATTATTTGACCCCTTACACAATTTACCAACACTTGATATAAAACATTACTGGGGAAAGTGGCTTTCTCACAGATTATATATTTGAATTACTAGACATTTTTGTCATTATTTATTTCAGTGCTTTAGTGTGATATGTTTCAAAAAATATATGTAGAAGATGTCTAACCACAAATTAACCACTAGGGTATTGATGTAAGACAGACTTGATTTTGATCCTAATTCTGATATTTTTACCAGCTGCATGATGTTCATTAAGTTCTTAACTTCTTTTTTTTGTTTGTTTTTCTTTGTGTTTGAGAAGCAGGGTCTTGCTTTGTTGCCCAGGATGAAGTACAGTGGCATGATGATCATGGCTCAATGCTGCCTTAAACTTCTGGGCTCAAGTGATCCCCTGCCATAGCCTCCAAAAGTGCTGACTTAACTTATTGAACCCCCAATTTCCCTATTTGTAAAATGGAGATAATGAGAGTACCTACCTGTCAATGAGAATGATTTTGGCTGAGAGTTCAGAAAACTCAACACAAATGGCTTAAATCTGAAGGAAAATAACATTACCTCGTTTAGTAGGAAAGGGTTCCTAGGTTGTCTAATATAGTTGCTTACCTAGATCCCCCAAAATAAAGGACTCATTCTGCTGAGCCATCATTGGCTATATCCTGCTGAGCCATCATTGGTTATATCCTTAGGCTAGGCTCCCTTGTCACAGATAGCTGCCATGATTTTAGGCATCACATCTAAACATCATCACTCCTAATTCATTAACAAGATTTGAGTCCCATGCCCACCTCTTAAGCATTCTCAGTCTGAATATTGGCATTCCCCTGAGTAGCTTCATGAAGCAAATGCACGGCCATGTGAAGGACAGTGGGCTGATTGTTGGCATAAAACTGAAATTCAGTTGAAGTAAAGGCCACGGAGGATGAAATGTAAGCAGTAGCCAACAATATCAGCTAAGATTTTTTAAAATGAGAATTATATAAATGAATGTATGTAACAACATGTAGTGTGTAATCAATAAATGCTGGCACCTCCTGAGAGCTGTGACATTATTTTTTTTGTTTTGGTAAATTTGTTGGTAGTGTTCTTCCAAAATATATTGTTTAATATAAAGTATGCTTGAATTAATTTTATTAAGAGAAGAACTGCATATTATTCCATTCAATAACTGAAAAACTTCCAATGAGATTTGATAATTATCATTACTCAAACACAGATGGACTCTGTATCGTTTTGCAGCACACACTCACCTATCAGTGATATTTGCATCCACCTCATATTAAGTCTGTATCAAATACTTATATATCCCCAAGGTCACTCAGCGTAATTAACTGCAAAGTAAACTTAATTAAGATGAATGAATGTGCTATTTTCTTTATAAAATCACTCACTAAATGCCCATAATTTTTAAAAAGGTGCCCATCTTTTTGCTCACCTAATTCTTGCTTGGCTCAGACATTGTCTTCTAGAGCTATTATTTGCAGTCTCTCTTATCTGCCCTCAAAGACACAGAATTCCACATTCCTTTTGTCATAGCCCTTATCATATTGCATTGCAAATGCCAGTTTACATGTTTCCTTTCCCTTCACCAGACTGTGAGCTTTGAAAAGGCAACTCCTGATACACAGCATGTACTCCTTCCATGCTTCGAGGAAAACGTAATGAATGAATGTAAATGTCCATTGAGAATGTCCATATTGAGAGAAAGCTGCCCTTATTTACACATCCCTGACCATGGCAAGACTCTTGCTTGCACTCACCAGATTGAAAGGCCCATCCCTTTTTCTTTTCTTTTTTTTTTTTTTTTTTTGAGACGCCATGCCATCTGGGCTCACTGCAAGCTCCGCCTTCCGGGTTCACGCCATTCTCCTGCCTCAGCCTCCTGAGTAGCTGGGACTACAGGCGCCCGCCACCAGGCCCAGCTAATTATTTTAGTAGAGACGGGGTTTCACCGTGGTCTCCATCTCCTGACCTCGTGATCCGCCCGCCTCAGCCTCCCAAAGTGCTGGGATTACAGGCGTGAGTCACCGCCCCCGGCTCCCATCCCTTTTTCTCTCTTTCCTTCTCCCACTGTCTTCAATACTACAGAAAGATTGGAGCCATCCAGCAGTATGCTGTTTTTCTTTTCCTCCTCCCTGGCCAGGGCACGACATTTTTCCATGAGAAAAGAGAATAAGGACACTCAGACTCCACCCAAAATTAAAAGTCAATGCAATGGGTACCTACCTATGAACCAAGAAGAGTACCTTGTAGATTTCTCAGTAAGTGTGAAAAGACTCCAGGAACTAAAATTGCTAAATTATAAGACATTTATTTAAAACAATCCCATCAATGATATAAGCATACAAATCTCCAAAACTTTAGCTATGGATACAGTGACAAGACATACTACAAGGAAAAATGTCTATAGAAAATGATGAATACAGAGTTTTGAAAGCCCCTGCCTCCTATACTGAGGGACATTCTAGGAAAATGCCTCCATGTAGCAGTAACTCTTTAATCTCTGCCTTTTGAAATCTCATCCATTTTCCCACATGCAACTCAGAGTCAATTCAGCTGTGTACTTTTCCCCAGTCTTCCACCTGGCATTAACCTTGATCTCTCTGATTCCTCAGCATTTTACTGCTATTCTTAGTAGAACACGTATCACTCTCTGCCTTGTGTGGCGGCTATTTTGTGGGTATTTGCCATTCCTGCAGCCCACTGGGGAGATCCTGAGCTCCTTAAGGACAAGGGCCATAACTTGCTCATCTTTTCTTCCCCATTGTTACGGACCACCTAAACGAATATAGAATAAAAAGACAGGGGTAGATCTTGATTAATAAACATATCTGAATATATTCTTCCCATTACACTTCACTGCAAAACTGAAACCCTCTTTGTGAACAGACTGTTTTCCTTATGCAAGTAGGGTTTTGAGAAATGAAAAATTATGTTCAAAAACTCGATTGTTGATCCTTTCTGTGTGATCAGCTATATAAGTAGAAAAACATTCTTTTTTTGTTAGGGTGAGGATATTGCACCAAATATAAATGCCTATGTTTGCCTAGTTCTGTTTCTTGGGAAGACCTATATATCCTTCTAATTTAATTGCCTCAAGAGATTGGATTTGGCAGATCATTTTGGATCATAAGTATCAGTTTCTTTCTCTATCTACTGTCTTCCCAAGCATTTGAGACCAAAATATAGCAAATGGATCACATCAGAGACATGAAAGATAAGTGATTGATTGTCTCCTTGATATTGATCTCATGCCAGTAGAGAGATGAGACAACATGGAATTTGCCTTCTTTTTGATTTATTCACGAAACAGGAATTTCACCAAAGCCTAGTTATCATTCAAAATCTAACCATAGGGCTGCCATGTAGGGTGGTGGATCCCCCATTATTACAAGTATGCAAGCACAGGTTGGGTCAGCGGCTGATCATGGGTGTTGCAAAAGGATTTCTTCCCCTGGTCAGTGTTGGATTAATAGTCACTAAGGTCCCTTCTAGATGTGTTAGTTTGTGAAAGGTCAGCCCTGTATTCAAGCTGGGAGAAAGAGCTAGAGTGGCAGAGGAGAAACTGTCCGCTCCCCATTACCCTGGTTCCCCATGACATCAACAGGCAGTTGGTGGTGTCACGATGCTACACAAATGTGAGGCGTAGGCTTCCAGGCTCAAACACAGCATGTACCAAACACACTGACACAGTGTCTTAGTCAAAATTTTGAACTGTGAAAACTGATTAATTTTGTATCCAACTGAAATTCTATTTCACAGCAAAGCAGTTCCCCAGCTGTGAGAGGCTGAACACTATGGCTCCAAAGAAATCAATGATCCTTCTCTGGTACTCAAGGCATCTTTATGATTCCCTTTGGGTGACAGACAACTTTATGTGACCATGGTTCCGATAAATCCAACCCAAGCATTTCAACCAGTGGGCAAACAATTGCCCATAAAGCTATCCACTTCTCTCTGTTAGGTAGTCACTGGATCACTGCCAGCAGAGCAGAGTGGAGCTCACAGGCTGGGCCTCTGCTCTCGCTCATGCACACTCCTTGGCATCCAGCTTGTTCCCATCTGCAGAAACATTATAATTTCCAAATGTTGAAGGGGTTCTAATACTGCTGAACAGAAATGTGTGCACAGTCCAGCTCCAAAACTGGAAAATGTTTATTTTTTGTCACATCTTCCCCTTGATGTAAAACCATGGTCCACTTTAATAAACAGGTTGCATGGTCAAACCAGCTTTTTCCAGATGGGTTTTAAGGAAAAATGACTCTAGGTATAGCCATAAAAAATAAAAAGAGAAAAAAAATAGTTCCTCAGTGGGGAGTGACCAAGTTAAAACATAATTTTTTTTTCCTTCTGATGTCTCCAAACCATTAGATATGATAACATGAACTGCAAATCTTCAAGAAGACCATTTAGGAAGCACAGTTTGCAGTTTATTTGACCATGGGAACCTTAGTTCCTGGCTCCCATTGAAATTGAACTGAAATTCCACAGAAGCACAGTTTAGGAAATACTGAGTTAAAGTAAAACCCATGGGTCTATAGCATCAGGGAATTTTTATAGTGTGGTCCAGAAAATATCACAGAACCAAAGCCTTTTACACAATTCTGAGACTGGTAAAAATAGCACTTGCATGGAAATGGTCCCTTTTTATGAAAAGCCTGAGGAAGCTATCAAATCACTTCTACTTGCACGAGTGCCAGACCAAGAATAAAAAGAGAGAAGATGAAAAGACAACAGGTGAAAGGAAGGAAAGCATTGAGGAAAAGAGCATGGGTAGAGAGTGACCAGGTCCAGCAGGTATTCTGAGCACAGGCAGAAGGTGTTTTTCCAGGTCTACATGCAGGCAGAGCTGAGTCCTCAGGTCAGTAGTAAATAGTGTGGGCCTAGTTTTCATGCCGTAGAATACAGATGACTAAGATTCTATTCTAAAAGTCCAATCATTGCAGACAATGAGATTTCTCTGCAGTAAATATGAAAGCCAGGAAGCAGCAGAGAAAAGCTCAATATGTTGTTCAGTAGAAAACACAGACTAGACCACTAGATGGCCAGAACTGAGACATTAAATGGATCAGTGGACAACAGAATCATTCCCCAGTCACACTGGTTAATGTCATCAGCAATGCCAATTTAAAAGAAACACAAATTATGCTAAGAACCTCAGTGTATATTATTATATTTCAGATGTTAAGTTGGTGCAAATTTATGTTGACCAACTTAGGAAGCCAGGTGGACAAACTTGTACTTACAACGAGGTAGGAAACAGTATGGAAAACGCTATTTATCAAAGGTTTAAAAATATTTCTAATTTTTGACCTCATATTTCCACATGGAATCTGTCTAAAGAAAACATCCTAAATCAGAAAAAAAATGTTGTTCAAATATCTGTATTGCCATATATCTATATGAATAGAAATATTAAAATTGCATAAATTTCCATTAATAGAACAGTTCAGTAAATTACATTTGGAGTCATACAGTGGAATTTCATGCAGTTGTCAAAGGTGATGTTTATGAAGCATCTGTTAACCTGATTATAAACCTGATTATAATACAATGTTAAACAAATAGAGAGAAAAACATATTATGTAATCATGACTATAAAAATCAGGTAAATATAGCAAAAATGACCGGAAAATATAGCAAAAGAGCAATAATAGTGTAAAGTTTATATAATTATAATTTTTCATGACTTTCCTCTTCAAATTTATTCAGAAGCTTCTAATTTTTCTTTTACAGGTATCATTTCCCTTAAGAAGCAGTATTTTTAAAAGAATATTAGCCCAGGGAAATAAATATTCTTAAAAATGGTGCCAACACTGAGCCTTCTTATTAAGTTGTTCCTAACTACAGACACAGATTTTGGAAAAGATCCATATATGGAAAATCTTTATGGCCAAAAATTTTCTTTGCTGTAATGAAATGTCATCAGGAAAGTGGAAGAAAGAGAATCAATGCACACTAAGAAATTCCTACCTCAGGCAGACCGCAGAGGCTAGGTATGGTTTGGGGGAAACCCTTGGGTGGTAGCCATGGTCCATAGCTATAGCAGCTCAGGGAGCATAGGACCAGAAGCACAGAGCTCCAGCTTCCTGTGATGAACTGCCTAGAGCGTGGCCTTCCTGAGTAGCCATTTTGGTTTCCAGGAGTCTATTTTACATGATGACATATAAGAAAAGATTTGGAAGGGGATTTAAGTGACATTGCCAAGATAAAAGCACATTAGACATTTGGTTTGGAGACAGAAATGTCATGTACCTGAGCAGTTTCTTTGAAGGAATAAGACAGATTATCCTATGTGGCCAATAAATTTAGTCTCATTCTTTACAATGACTCAATATGACAAAAGATCTAAAAACAGCCTTGCTTTTTTACTTGGAAATACATGTTGTGTGCTCTATAACCCCTGTTTTGGATGTCTTCTTATTTCAATCTGTCCCAAACTAGGCATGTGCCCCTGAAATGTAATTTCCAGTAATTCTTTTTTTTCTTTAAAAAAAAAAAAAAAAAAACCAAGAAGGAAAAACCCACCAAACAAACAACAAAACAAAAAAACTTAGCACTCATTTACCCTTATTTTAGGTAATTGAGGCAAAAGAAAAAAAAACTTGCAATGTAACTATTAATTAGTAAGTTCCCAGAACAAGTGAGATTTTTATAAAAGAGCACAATGGATATAGAATCAAGGAAACTCTTCTTGTATAGAAATAATTCTTTTTTAAAAAGTTTGACAGCTCCTCAATAAAGTAGCACCCTGGCACAAGCCAAAGAGAAAAGAAGCCACTCTAAAAATATCTCAGTACAAGTGGAAAGAGTTAATATTTTCTTCCATGCTCCTGGAAGAGCTGTCTCTGGGACTACATGGCCCTCGGCTGTCCAGTGGCTTTATTCTCCACTCCCCTGTATACCTCTGCTTTGGAGGCAGGCAAAGGATGCAGAAAATGGCTGAAATATATAGTTGGCATGAACTTGCTTTTACTTTTTAAAACTGATCAGCAATAAAAAAAGCACTAGAAATGAGTGCCAGCAACAGAATCTATGGCTTTCTAAAAATAAGCATGGATGAGGCAAACTTCAGGGACAAACACATTAAAACTTTAAATTCCTGGCTCATTAACTTCTAGTATGCTCCTACATCTTCCCCTCTGGCATGGACACTTGAATAGGTGTTCTTTGCTCAATCATTTATTTAAATGGTTTTATTGAGTGAAGATGTGCCAGGCATGCCAGGAGGTTTCTGTGAGAATAAGAGATGACTGGAAATGGCCCAGCATCTTGAAATCACTCCAAGGCAGTTACAGGTCCCCAAACCCTGACTATGGTGAGGTTAACAGAAATTGAGCAATCCTTGCTCAAACCATTTACGGACTTGAACAGAGTCCACAGGAGCAGAGGTCCATAAACCACGTTCCTCTAGATTCATGAATTGGAGAGATGTTGGCCAACCAATCAGTAAAAAATATGAATTATGATGGCTATGCTAATTATCCTGGTCTGATCACTACACATTGCATAGTATCGAAACATCATTATGTACCCTGTAAATATGTACTATTATCATGTGTTAATTTAAAACTTTAATTTAATTTTAAAAATTCCTTAATCCAGAATGCTACTTCAGCCACTGAGGGATGTGGCCGAAGGTCTCACACTTTGAAGACACACACATAACAAATATCCAAACAAGACCCTTGTCCAAAATACCAGTGAAGATACTGGCCCTTCTCCTTCTAGCAAATGTTCTTTCCATAAACCTCTGAGCCAGAGTGTTGGCTTCTGCAATATAAGGATATAGAAGTTTTGTTCAGGAGACAAATTCTGTGTAAACACCTATTCCTCATACTATGTTATGAAATTGTGCCCCCCCACAACCCTTGCCAAAATTCACAAGTTGAAGCCCTAACCCCGCAATGTGACTGTTTTTGGAGACAGGACCTTTAAGGAGGTAATGAAAGTTAATGAGATCCTAAGAAGAGGTCCCTTATATGATAGGTCTGGTGTTTTTAAGAGGAAGAGACACGGGAGGGTATGTGGATAGAGAATTGCTATGAGAGGACTCAGAGAGAAGCAGCTGACTACAAGCCAAGGAAAAAGACCACTGGAGAAACCACACCTGCCAAACCTTGATCTCGGACTTTCAGCTTCAGGAACTGTGAGAAATTTCTGTTGTTTAAGCCACTCAGTCTATGGTATGGCAGCCTTACCTAACTAAGACATATCATGGGCTGGTTTACAAGTCATATATGTTAGGCTGCATGAGAGAAGAAACATATCTAGTAAATTTCAGGCATCATGTGAACACAAAGAAAGGCAATCGCATTTGGTTTGCAGTCATAGCTGCAGTATCATTTTTTTGAGATGGGGGATATGAGGGTCCCTAAGCTTCCATAATTTATTCACATCTCTGCCTCCGCTGAAGTAAACTCTTTGGGGTTTCATTGTTTTTAAGATCATTACAATAGTGAAGGACATTCATGTAAATGAATAAGATAGATAGATAAAGCAAGAAATAATATTTTTAATCCCTGTCTTTCTCAGACTCTCTTGATTGTAGACACAGTTATCTCCACACTGAAAGCTCAGCCCCATCTACTGCTGAGCCAGGTTTTCACACAGAAAAATCTGGTACCATGTCCAGTAGTACAGTGGCAAGCTGACAGCATCCACCTGGTCCTTGTAGTTTTCTCCTGTTTTACCACTGATGCTCAGGCCATGGACTGGGCATCTAGTCCCATGTCCTGTTCTTATCCTAATCTTGCTTCTGAGATGAGAGTCTAAGATTCTAGGATCCAAATAATCAAATACTCTCCTTGGTTCTTGTTCTTGTTTGTTTCTCATACTACATGGCCTATATGCATTCCCTCAGCCCAGGGTCATTCTTCCAATGAACTGATCACATAGAATAAAGTATCAATGCCTAAAATGACTCCAAGCATCACTTCCTAATTTTAATGATACTAGCCTTTACTAATTAAGATGCTTCAAAGAATATACTAAGCTGTCTTTCTGGATCACCTTATTTTTTAAACAATCTTTTTTTGACATAGCTAATTTGTAATTACAATTTTTTAAAAGAAAATTGAGAGAGAATTTAATTCATTTGGCAAAGATTACATACATTAAAGGTGATGAGAAATTTCCAGTCCTGGCCAAAATGTAGTATCATGGACTAAGACTTTAGATTTCTGGCAAAGAAGGACAGTGATTCTTGAGAAATGGAAAACAAATGAGAGATGAAAACTATATAGTCTGAAATAACAAATGCACTGGATGGGATGGAAGACACATTAGACATTGCAGAAGAAATGGTAGGGGTCTTGGGTACATAGCAATAGAAACTATCAAAAATAGGAAGTTAAAAACAATAATGAGCATCAGTGAAGTATGGGGCGACTTCAAAGTATATATTAGGCATATAACATATGTAGAAGTAGAGTTCCAGAAGAAGATGAGAACAAAAAGCTATTTTCAAATATAATAGTCAATTAAAAAAAATCATGAAAATTATAAACCCATAGAGTTGAGAAGCTCGACAAATTCCAAGCATAAGAAGGATGAAGAAAACCATATAAAGGCACATCATAATAAACTTTTTACAGCAATAAATTGAAAACCAGTGATAAATTGTAAATCTTATAAGTGACCAACAGAAAAAGCTGCATTATACAGAAAACAAAGGTAATGATAACAGTAGAATTCTTATAAACATTTGCAACAGAGATGTCAATAGAGCTGATCTTTAAGAAACTGAAAGGGAAGAACAAAAACAAAAAAGTTAATCTACAATGCTTTACTCAACAAAAGTATCTTTCAAAAACAGAGGTGAAATAAAGCCATTTATAGGGCTACAACAGCTGAGAAAATCCAGCAGTAACAGAGTTGCATTACAAAAAAATGTAAAGGACATCCTTCAGTCAGAAGAAAATTAACAGCCAGAAATATGTATCTACCCAAAGAAATACAGAGCATGGGAAATGGCAATTATGTGAGTAAATATAAAGTATCTTTTCATTTAAATATTCCAAATATAATCAACTGTTTATAGCAAAAATAGTAACAAAGTATTGTGAGGTTTATTTATATATGTATATGTTTATGTATATGTATATACAATGTTTGATAACAGTAGCATAAAGATGAGGAGGGGAGAGAGAAGTGAAGTGTACTATGCAGAGTTCTTATAATACACATGAAGTGATGTAATATTACTTGCAACTTGACAGTGAAAGCTAGAGGTATATACTAAAACTATCAAATAATGATAAAGCAACCACGAAAATAATAAAACAAAGAAATAGAGGTAAGAAAACAACAAAGGAAATGCAAAAAAAAAGGAAACGTTATCATATTGGATCAAAAAGCAAGACCCAATTATATGCTGCCTACAAAAAGCCCACTTTAAAATATATAAACAGGCTAAAAGCATAAATGAAAACAGATATACCACACAAACAATACCCAAAAGAAAGCTGGAGTAATTACACTATCATCAGACCAAGTAGACTTTATAATCACCAAAATTTGAGGAATAAAGAGAAATACTACCAGCCTGGGCAACACAGCGAGTCCTTGTCTCTACTAAAAACAAACAAACAAAAAAATTAGCCAGGCACAGTAGCACATGCCTGCAGTCTCAGCTACTCAGGAGGCTGACATGGCAGAATCTCTTGAGCCCAGGAGATTGAGGCTGCA
Source organism: Homo sapiens (assembly GCF_000001405.40). Taxonomy (NCBI): domain Eukaryota; kingdom Metazoa; phylum Chordata; class Mammalia; order Primates; family Hominidae; genus Homo; species Homo sapiens. The sequence continues at coordinate 82,325,257 of NC_000010.11, read as the reverse complement.
GTGAACCATGATCTCACCACTGCACTCCAGCCTGGGCAACGGTGTGAAAACCTGTCTCCAAAAAAAAAAGGAAGAAAGAAAACAAAAGAGTAATGATACTACATAATGATAAAGGGATGGGTAAACACTCCAAGGATGCATAACAATGATAAATATCTATGCAGCTTACTACAGAACTTCAAAATATATGAAGCAAAAATCAATAGAACTGCAAGGGAGAAATGGACAAATCCACCATTATAATCTGCTATTTTAACCCTTATCTCTTGGTAGTTGACAGTCAAGAAGATAGCAAATCAGTGGAGATATAGAAAACTTGAACAAAAGTCAACCAACTTGAAAAAATTCAGTTATAGTACACTCCATCCAACAACAGCAGATAAATATTCTTTTCTAGTGTGCATGCCACATTTACTAGGATAGATCATATTCGGGTTCATTAAACAAGTTTCAATATATTTAAAATGATTCAACTCATACAATGCATGTGCTCTGAACACAGTGGAATTAAGTTAGAGATCAATAAGTAAATGATATCAGGGAAATGTCAAAATATTTGGAACTAACATACTTCTAATTAACCAATGGAGAAAGGAATAATATAAAAGTAATTAGAAAGTATATTAAACTGAAAATAAAAACAGAGCATATCAATATTTGTAGGAATTAGCAAAAGTAAGACTTTGGTGGGAAATTTATAGCACTGGTAACCTATATTAGAATTTTAAAAACACCTCATGTTAATAATCTTATTTTCCATATTAAAAAAGAAAAACAAGGAAAATCAAATGAAACACAAAATAAGCAGAAGGAAAAAAGTAATAATGAAGTCAGAAATTTTTTAAAATGGAAAAATGAAAATCAATAGAGAAAAACTAGTGAAATAAAAACTTGATCCTTTGAGAACATTAATAAAATTGATTCTATCAAGAGTGACGAGGGTAGGGAAAAAAGTAGACACAAATTATCGATAACAGAAATGAGAGAAATGACAGCACTACAGACTGTAGAGGTATTTTTAAAAATAAGAAATTATATGGAACAAATTTATGTCACCACCAACAAACACTTTGATGAAACAGAAAAATTACTTGGCCAGGCACGGTGGCTCACGCCTGTAATCCCAGCACCCTGGGAAGCCGAGGCAGGTGTATCACCTGAGGTCAGGAGTTAGACACCAGCCTGGCCAACATGGTGAAACCCCGTCTCTACAAAAAATACAAAAATTAGCTGGGTGTGGTCACAGGCGCCTGTAATCCAAGCTACTCAGGAGGCTAAGGCGAGAGAATAGCTTGAACCTGCGAGGTGGAGGTTGCAGTGAGCCGAGATCGCACCATTGCACTCCAGCCTGGGCAACCAGAGTGAAACTCCGTCTCATAAATAAATAAATAATAAATAATACTTAAAACATCAAACCATAGAAGGTTTTTCAAAAATAGATAACTGGAATTTTCCTATATATAATTATTGAACTATCTATATCAGTAAACTGTAGTTGAAAATCTTCCCACAGAGATAACTCCAATCCCAGATGACTTTACTCGGCAACTCTACCATAAATGTAATTTAAAAAAACACCAATTCTGTAAAACTCTTTCAGAATATTTAAGAGGAGGGAACAGTCCCAAATTATTTTATTAGGCCAACATTCCTCCAACACCAAAACCAAAGACACTACAAGAATATTACATACAAGTGTTCTTCATAAACATAGATGCAAAAAATCTTAACACAATTTTAGTGAACTTAATCCAAAAAAAAAAAAAAAGGATAATATGTCATGGCCAAGTGAGGTTTATCCCACGTATGTGAAGATTTTACATGCAATATTAACATATTTTAAGAAAAACATACGATTATTTCAATTTATTTTTCTTTGAACCATGACTAAGCCCCACCCTGGCTGACACTATTGAGGTCCCAGCATACACTGTGTCTGAGTTCTGCTGATCTGAAGCAGTTTTGATGTATAAAAAAGAATCAGTACCTGAAATACATGATGTTTATCACAGCATGATAAAAAGTAGATATGCCAATTGTGTACACATGTTTGGATGAACAGTGTTAAATGGAGGACATCTGGAATCCAACTGTTAAAGGTTATAAGCAACACTGTCATAATTTAGAGACTGAAAGTAAAATAAATTCTTGTGGAACATCCAGGAAATACTTCCCACAGTAATTCCTATTTTATTTCAATTATGCAGAAATGGTACCTTTTCTCCTTTTTCCTTTTTCTTCTCCTTATTCTTACCCGTTAGTAACATAGTATTCATCAGAAGGCTCTGAATAACAGTACGCCAGACGGAACTGTTTTATTCTAGGACTGGGAGGAAGAGACTCTTTTTAAATGATTTTTGATTTCTACAATTCTGTTCACATAGCAAATGTTATCATATCAAATAGCATCAAATGTAAATGACTGGGTGTAATATAACTCTGTGATATAAAAGTAAAGAAATACAATCAACACTACTCTTCTCCTCTACAGACTGCAATTCATGAAAATGTTTGCCTTCCTTACTGAGTCACAAGAACTGATTCTGTTATAAGTAGTACATAAAGATTCTCAAAGATTAATAACTTGATTACACTTTACCTGTATGCATTGAATTTGTAAAGTCACAAAGAGCTGGAAAGCAAATCAATGAAGGTTATATGTGCCATTGAATATCAGGATCACTTTAAATGTCTGCAAAGCAAAATTTTAAAAAAAAAAAGCTAATATGGAACATAATCCTTTTAATAAAATCTACTGAAAATCTTTGGAAAGCTAGAACTAACTAAACAATATAACTCTTGTATTCAAATCTCCCTGATCCTTTTCTATAAAGATTTTTTTAATCTCATATTATTTGAACTTTATTTATCACAATCCCTACTTACATATTCTTCACCATCCTGGAGTCAACCACACATCCAGATCAATATCACACTTCAGATGTGAAGAAAAAGGAATTTTTAAAAACCCCTAAATTTTAATTCTAGTATTTTTATCCACTCTTATAAATTATTACAATGCCTGACTTATTATGGGCATTTAACAACTACATCTTCTCATTTTCACAACATAGGCAATCTTTTGCAAGGCATTCGTATTTTGATGTTGCCTCTATGCATTAGATCATAAAAATAAGAGTGGACTCAACTTATTCAACCCATTCCTAGAAGAATAAAAACTGTACTATGCCAGGAGAATAGATACTAATAAAATATCATAAGATAATGGAGTTCTTTATATTTTTGAAATTTTCTTACCACTATGGCAACATGTCATTTTCAGAGCTGTCATTGACCTCATCATGCCATTATTCTCTAATTCAGACAGCACTTTGATGCCCCAGGAGGTCTGGCAACAGAACAAATTCTAGTGACTGCCCAACAAGAATACAACTGTCAGTCTTAAGAAAAGAAGGGCCATGTTAACTAGAGGGAGAAAAAGGTTCTATGCCTTCAGGAAATATACACATCTCTGCTGCCTTTTAAAGCCACTTTGGTTCAAAATGTTATCTCCATAGAAATGTGTTCTTATATGAGCTATGCATACATGCTTTGCTCCTAGCAAGACAAATCATATCTTTATTTTAAGGTCTCCTTATAACATACAACTATAGAATAGCCGAGGAAATGGTAGGTGGGCCCCTATCTTGTCAAAACCCAAAACCAGGGGATCACTATTAGGCAAATTAGACATTTATAGAGGTAGAATAAAGCAGAGATTCAAAATGCAGGACATCCCATTTCTGGATGAAGGGATTTGAGGCAGTTTAAGTCATTATCTTCTCAGACATACAAGAAGGGAAACAATAATCACGTCGCAGGTGGTTTTAAGGAATAATCAAGGTAATGTATTTAAGGTGCTCAACGCAGGTTTTGGTACATTGTAAGAACTCAAAGAATGATAATTATTTGGGGGGCTGCAGGTGAAACAGGAGAGTTCCCTGACCCCCACCCCCACCCCTGCCACAGGATGTGTGACAGGGGTGTGGCTTACCTGTTCAGCCACCATGCGCTCAAACCCTTTACTGGAGGGGGAGCACACAGACAGGCAGGAGCCAGGGCAAATGCTTTTGGGCTCCAGCCCCAAGGTAGCATCTAGGGGTGGGTGCCTGCAACCACTGACGCCCCAGGGGGCATGTTACAGTGCTATTTTAGCTCTGCTATCTGCAGACAGCTTAAGTGTTAACCAGCTCAGTGACCTCTTGGTACCTGGGTCCTTGTCTGGCATCCAGAAAGAATCAGGTGACATGGATAAACTGAAGGATGGTAAATGCGGGGGATTTTATTGCTGGATGGAGGTGACTCCCAGCAGAATGGATGAGGAGCTGGAAAGGTGATGGAGCTCTCGTGCTCTTCTGCTCGTGGAGCTTGGGGTTTATATGAGCAAAGTATAGCAGATATGGTAAGCCAGATTGGTCTTGGAAAAGGCAACATTTGGGCGTGAAAACAGGAATACCAGCTCCCATTTAAGGCCACAGGTTTCTAGGCTTGGGGTTGGGGACTTTGCTGGGGAACCACTCTCTTCTACGCAGTATTTCCTTATGTGTTGTCCATATCACAGGGAACTTGGACCTCTGTCTCTACCCCAGACCTGCTACCCTGTTTCTGGCTAGTGTACATACCCCAGTCATCTTTGAAATAGCTACAATAACCTAATTTAGAGGACAAATAAAATATTTTCTGAATATTAGATTTCAAGGAGACCTCCAGAAATTATTAAGTCCAATGCCTTCATTTTAAGGAATGAAGGAGTGACTTGGTCAATTTCACCCAGCTAAGTATTCAGTGAGTTCTGACCCAGATTTAGATCTCTTGATCTAAAAATTGATCTGAAATAGACCTCCAATTTTAGGTAAAATGGCTTTTCTCTGTCTCGCTTTTCTTCTTTTCTTTTTCTCCTCTTCCACACCAATTCTCTTTTCCTCTTTGGTTTCTAGTTGGCATTTCAAATGACTTAGGTATTTACTAAGCATCAGGAAAGAACTTCTCAGTCATCTGTAAACTGCCCTGGTCACCATATGTCAAAATTATCCAATATGGTTACAGTAAACATATTGGCACATCTTTGGGTCTTCATGGCTTACCTTCATAAAATACAAACATGCTACTCAGAAGAAATCATTTCTGAGCAGTTAGAATTTATTGACAGGTATGCTCCTGTGCACTGCATGCAAAATCGACATTGCCTATTAGATGACACACGAAATATCAGAAGACAATCAGCAGTTAGTTCTCCTGAGCCCTTGATTTACTTACACACATCCTTACTCTGAAAGGCTTTGAAAAGTAGAGTTAGTACCCTTCCCAACACAGCCACATTCTCCAGTCCAGAGCAGAAAGGAAAGTGGACCATGACTTGAAGATGCAGCCAAGAAACCAAATTCTTTCTGAGGCAATTCAGACAGACAGTTCTCTAACCATCTGTCCCCAACCGGATTGACAGATTGAGCTGTGAAGTCAGCCACACAGGACTCCATCAGCTCCTCCCACTCTGGGCAGCTGCAGGCTCAGCTGGTCCTAACCCTCTCCAGGCAGGTGGGCTGCAGGCTAAGGAGCAGATTCATTAGAAAGACTGCCTCTGGGTGCTGGCAGAGGTTTGCCAAACCCCAACTTATGCTCCCAGAAATGGTCAAAGCAGGCTCAGCAGGTTTCTGAAACCACTATTAAATATGGAGCCCATGGTAATCTGGTTACAATCTCAGAATTAGGCATTCAAAGAACAAGGGAAAATAATTTAGAAGAAAAGCAACACCATGCCAGGGACAATAGATAGGAGGAGGGCTTGAAATCCCCATGCAAATTGCATGCCTCTAGGTACCAATTTGCCTTTCGGCGGAATTTAGGCTTCCGAAAGTTAAATTATGCATACAACAGCCTCATTATCCACAGTGGTATTTTCATATAAAGATCTGAAGACAAAATGTAAGCTTGCCTCTTGGAACCTTTAGAAAAAGCGATTGACTAATCCGCATATGGAACAGCTCAGGTTCCACCTGCTGCTGTCTGTACAGATGGGAAGATGTAACCAAGGGGACTCCCCACAGCAGCCAGCTCTGCAGGGCCAGCTCTGTGTGCACCACTATCCTGTACTTCTCTTTCAGATGCTGCAATTTTGCAAAGCATTTTAAACATGTATTTTAAAGTCACAGAGCATGCAGCTGGGTTGCAGTAAGATATGTTTCCTATAACAATATTTGGTGGGTTTTTGTTCTCACACCAATATACACTTCTGTGTATTAGACCAAAATAAACATGTTTGGGAGGTCTGTTTTTTCTGCACAAGGAAAAGCCTGGTATTTATTATTTATAAAGACACTCTTTAGGAGTTACTTTTCCCAAGAGGCATAATGTGGTTGCTGGGTGAATTTTTCACTCATTCGGCAAATATTTATTGAGCTGCCACTCAACTGAAAGCAGGAGTTGAAAGACAAACTAGATATTGCCCTTGCTTTCAAGATGTTCACTTTCTATTTGTGAGGTAAAGAGGCCTGATTTTGCTACAATACAGCATGTTCTGTGCCGTGGGGGCTGAGCAGAGGCAACAGTGAGAAGAGTGGTGACATATGAGCTGAGTCTTCAAAGAGCAGTGGATCTGTCTGAAAGACTCTGTGTCCAGAGAGCAGCATTTGCAAAGGGATGAAAGTTGTGTGGACCACAAGTCATGCATGAGGAGGGCCACGAGACAGTCACTATGGCCAGAATATAGACTCAAAAGTTGTCAGATGCAAACGAGAAGGGTCCTGAAGAAACTTGCATGCCCTGTTGAGTTTGGATTATAAATTAAGGATCACGGGATGTGACTAAGAATTTCATAGAGGAGTGAAACACGGTAATCTTAAACCTCTTTTCTTTCCTCTGTGTATGGTGTTTACATACATACATCACAGGGAATGTGGAAAATATACTCTGTGAAAGGAAATTAAATCTTGGGACCCCAAACTCATTAAGCCAATGGGAAGGGTCAAGCTGGGAACTGGGTCACACAAACCTGCCTCCACCTTTGGTTCCTAAATAAGATGGCTACAAGATGAAAGCTACATGCCCCCCTATGCCCCCACCCCACCCAAATTTTGCCCATGAGGAAATTCCTAGTGAGCTGCAAGATCATTTAAGGTGTTTCTGTTAAATTTTTGCCATAGCAATGTAAATTGATAGCTTATCTTTACAGGTACTATCACCCCCTGCCCACCAGACACAAAGGCATATCTCGTTGTTCCCCTGCCCCATTTTGTCTATGTTATCTTATGTAAAATGCAGATTCCCTGAATTTTTACTCTGCCTCATTTGTCTATATCATCTTATGTAAAAAAAAAAAAATGTAGATTCACTGAGCCAGACAAAGGCACAGATGACTATTTTTTCCCTGCCTTCCTCTTACATGAAATTGTCTACTTCTCAATATCCTGCCCTTTCCTCTTTAAATTTGGAGCCCTCAAAATCATCTTCAGAGAAAGGCACAGACCCATCTCCCAGGATCCGTCCTTAACTTTGGCAAATAAACCTCTTCCTAAAATGATTGAGACTTGTCTCATTATTTTTCTTGATCGACAGCTCTAAGAACATAAACCACCTGTGATGCCACAAACATGATCATATGCTATGTTTCATCCAGCACTCTTGAAGCAGTATGGAGAGCCTATTGGCCAGAAGCAGCTGAAAGTAGGTGACTTAGGAGAAAATTGTGATAATCCAAGGAAGAGGTAAGAAAGAGAACAATCAGTGAGCAGCAGCACAGACTGAAAGGATAGAAGGGTTTGCAAACAAGACCTGAAACTACATAGACAATTCTTGAAGACTGGATGTAGAATATGACCTAAAGAGAAGAATATTAATTTATTCATTAACTCACCAAATATGTCATTCCAGTAATGTGCCAAATACCTTTCTAGGTATTGAGGACAGGACTAAAGAGAAAAAAATTCATTTTCTTCCTGGATCTGACATTTAGATGAGGAAAATAAAATAGTGTCCAAATCTTTAGCTTGGCAAACTAGATTACTGTTGTATCATTGAAACACGAAATTCATGCCTGTTACAGCAAAAAAAAAAAAAAATCTATTCTACCTTAGACATATTGAATTTGAAATCTCTGTCTTCTGTAATCTCACTTGAGGGATTACACATTCTACAGGCTGTGAAGACACTGCACATTCTATACCTTTCTGGAAAGCATAGGACTGATATTTTAGGAAGAAAACCTTCCAATTTTGGGAGCTGGCAACAATGACAGGTCACAACCAGCTGATTGGAAAGGTAAGCTAATTGGCACAAATGACCTGCACGCTGAACACATGAGCTAGACTGAAGAGGAGAGGGTCTCAAGGGTGACAAGTTCTTCGCCTCCCAGTGCTGAGTAAGAAGCCTGGAATCTGCTCCATGGTTTCCTCCTGCCAAGATTCTCTTGCTCCATAGGTAAACCCAGCTCTGCTTTTCTGAAATTATAGAAAATTGAACCTACAGCTCGGCCTAGGAAAGATGAAAGCACCACCTTCTCTACAGGAAAACAAGGACATAAGGGAACTTGGGAAGAGATTTTCAACTTTTTCCTTTTTAGAAGTAGAAACACTTTTTGTTTTGTTTTATGAAATGAAATCTTAGCCCGTTTCTGTCAGACAAAATGGAGCAAATGACAGAAGTGCGGCCAGGAGCAAGGCCTTATGTGTAATGCGGGCCACAGTGGACTGTCACTTAAAGAAGGTTTCTGGTCCCACCCCTTCATTTTACCAGGAGGGGGAAAAAAGGGTCCGTAGGCAAAAATATTTGTTCAAATAAAAGCAGCAGCTACTGAATTTGAAATCCAGGTCAGTGTTCTTTCAATTTTCTACTTTTTTTCATAAGACATCAGGGTTTTCAACAGGACTGGCTTTAAAGTATATCTCCTCATAGAATTCACTGGGGGACAAAACAAATTGTATACTTAATTTATGATTGTTAATGCAGTCGTTCCCAACACCAGAGTGTCCTTGTATTCCAGCACATTGATTGCTATAATCTTACGTTAGTTATAGGAGTGTTTTGAATATTCTTCTAAGTTCTTAATAATAATGTTGTAAGTAATTCTTTCTCAAACTTCTTCAAAGTAAAAATGCAATGCACTCTTTTCGCGGGGGTTGAGATCTCCTACATAGGAGAGAGAAGGCACAAGTAGAAGTCTCTGAGGGAATGCCCCAGTCACAGCACCAGGTTCTCACACTAACAACACCATTGCTTGTGGTCAGAACTGAATTTCCTTAGAATAATTATGCTAGGCCAAAAATCTCCCTCATCCTTCCTATTGCGACTATGGACAAATGGTAAAAATCACATATATGGGCCGGGCGCAGTGGCTCCCACCTGTAATCCCAGTACTTTGGGAGGCTAAGGTCAGAAGTTCAAGACCAGCCTGGCCACATGGTGAAACCCTGTCTCTACTAAAAATATAAAAACTAGCCGGGTGTGGTGGTGGACACCTGTAATCCCAGTTACTTGGGAGGCTGAGGCAGGAGAATTGCTTGAACCCAGGAGACGGAGGTTGCAGCGAGCCGACACGGTGCCACTGCACTCCAGCCTCGGCGACAGAGTGAGACTCCGTCTCAAAAAAAAAAAAAAAACAACAAACGTATATGATTCTGTTGTCTTTGACACAGAGATACGATCATAAGATAATAATCATACAGTTTTAGCAGAATGCACCCATGTTCCCAAAGTAATGTCATCCTTCAAAGACGGCACCTTTGGAGGCACTATTCACACAGGAGCAGCCACTGCCTTCTAATTTCCTGCCAGCTTCAGTGTAAGATCTACACAAGAAGATCATGTCGTTTTATCTGCTAGACACAGCTGGCCTTTGACTAAATGTAGTTTTGCCCATATTGATTGCTATGCTTATTTTACTTTAGGCTATTTTGAAAACTGAAATCGTTCCTGAAAGGCAAAGATCAGCTCTGCTGTTCAATAAGCAGCATGAGAACAGTGTGCCTCAGGCTCCACAAAGGGCTCAGAAAAGGAGTTTCAAAAGTACTCCGGGCAGTGAGGATTTTCACCAGGTGTTGACTTTAAAAGACCCCACACATTGCTAATAACAGACCTTGCACTGCCTTTCTTTGAAATGAGCTCTAATATATTAAAACATCACATGTGTATACACATCATTTTAACCATGGACCATAAATACAGTATGGAAATTGCATTATGCTGATAATGGGTGGTATAACAAAAATCTGTATCTATATTTATTACCATAATTCAGGTAAATATACAGGTAAATAGACACACACATATACATTCAGCTAGAGATTGTCAAATTTATCAGTTTATAGTGTAAAAAATGAGGTCCTAGAGAGTTAAGAGTGACATAACCAATGGCATAAATTTTGGACAGAACCAAAGGACCTGGGACAGAACCTGGGGCAGCTTACCTCCCGTGAACTCTTTTATTGCTATTTATTGTTTTTTTGTTTATTTGTTTTGAGACGGACTCTCGCTCTGTCACCCAGGCTGGAGTGCAGTGGCGAGATCTCAGCTCACTGAAAGCTCTGCCTCCCCAGTTCACGCCATTCTCCTGCCTCAGCCTCTGGAGTAGCTGAGATTACAGGCGCCCGCCACCATGCCCGGCTAATTTTTTAAATATTTTTAGTAGAGACGGGGTTTCACCATGCTAGCCAGGATGGTCTCGATCTCCTGACCTCGTGATCCACCTGCCTCGGCCTCCCAAAGTGCTGGGATTACAGACGTGAGCCACTGTGCCTGGCCTATTTATTTATTTTTTAATGCAGTTACAGAATGCTGGAAACAAATGGGTCAGTCATTTTTTTTTTAAATTTTAAATTAATTTCCCACTATAAAACTGAGAGGGTTGGATGAGATGATCTCCGGGGTCCCTGCAAATTAAAACCTGACATCTGGCAATTTTAGAAGCCTTGACAATACCAAGCTAATGAATGAAAAGTTTGAAGTGTCATCAAAAGATGAGGAAATGTGGTTAGAATTTTAAAATAACATCAACCCACAACTCCTCTATTATAGGGCATCAACTCATGTGGATTAAAGTTCTGTTGTCAAGCTAATGAGAGAAAATAGGGGATAAAATGCTTCCTTACAAATGAAAAATTCACAAGAGGTAATATTTATTATTTAATCTGTGCTGAGGACTTTGCTAGGTTATCTTGTTTCTCCTTAGAAGCCTGAGTAGGTTCTATTATGATCCTCCTCTACTTTACCCATGAACTAAATGAGAAGTCAAGTAACTTGCCCAAGGCTATATAGCTGGTTAGTAAGTAGCAGAGCTCATATTTCAAAACAGTTTAATTCACTTCTTTTTTAATAGAAGACAGGTTAAAACAGGAGAGTGGAAAAAATGGGTCAGAATCAAAGAGATGATGCTCAAGCACATAGAATTGTCTTTCTTGAACTGTTCCATCTTACTCATACAAGACTTAGCACTGCTCATTTAGCCATTCTTCTGTTTTCCCCCAAGCCTTCAATCGCCAGAGAGGATAAAATGGATGTGGAGTCAGCTCTACAAAGGCCTCCCAAATGTTGACTTGTAGTACACAAACTCATATCTGCTGGCCCTGACATAGTTGGAAACCAGAACCCATATTCACATAGAATCTGACCTGGGAATGAGGTCCCAGCTCATTCCCACATCCATCATCAGGCTATTTATGGGCTACGGTTGCTTTTTGAGAGGTCAGGACTGGCCATGCAGCTGTTTCCTGGTGTCCTGGGTAGGGTCATTTCAGGAGATGGCATCTGAGACCTTTGGTGTCCAGGCAGCACAAGCCAAGCCCTGCCTTAAAGCATAGGACTAATACATTAAATACATTCAGGATTGGCTCAACTAAAAGATGACATAATAATCATAATGATAATCGCAACAATTCCATTTATTTATTTTTATTTTATTTATTTATTTTTTATTTGTATTTATTTATTTTTTTGAGATGGAGTCCTGCTCTGTCACCGAGGCTGGAGTGCAGTGACACTATCTCGGCTCCCTGCAACCTCTGCCTCCTGGGTTCAAGCGATTCTCTTGCCTCAGCCTCCTAGGTAGCTGGGATTACCAGCACACACCACCATGCCCAGCTAATTTTTTTGTTTTTTTGAGACAGGGTCTCGCTCTGTCAGGTAGAGTGCAGTGGCGCAACCTCGGTTCACTGCAACCTCTGCCTCTATAGCTCAAGGAATCGTCCCACCTCAGCCTCCCAAGTAACTGGGACTACAGGTGTGCACCACCACATCCTGCTAATTTTTAGTATTTTTGGTAGAGAAGGGGTTTCACCATGTTGGCCAGGCTGGTCTTAAACTACTGAGCTCAAGCGATCCGTCTGCCTTGACCTCCCAAAGTGCTGGAATTACAGGCATGAGCCACCGTTGACAGCCAACAATTAATTATCAATCCATTTTCAATTATCAATCCATTTTCATGAACACCATTTATTCAGCATAGTCTTTTGATTGAGCAAAAATTACTAATGCTGTACAAATAGAAAAAAAAAAGAAAGCTCTAAGGGAGTTGTAATTTATCTAAGCTCTCTTGCTAAAGAGATTTTTTACTACAATTTTTCTTTTTCGTTTTTGATCTTTTGCCCCTACTTGGCAATTAATAGCTTTCATACACTAGGTGCCATCTTGCAATACCCCCTAATCCAAGTACAAAATCAAAACAAATCTAAGGAAAGAACAGAAGCCCAACATTTACAATTTGGTGTGAATACAATCACATTGCATTCTTGCCTTTCAGGCCCAAACTTTCACGGCAGGAGCTAGGAGCTGGTGAGGTAGAAGATACAGGTAAAAAGATTGAAAATGGACCATGGAAATGTACCAAATCTTTATCTCCTGCTTGATGGCATTTCAGATTTTCTGCCAACCTTTTTATATATGAGTTTTTCTAGGGATAAGTTTTGCTGCTTGCTTGGACACTTTCTCAAGTTATTTGCTAAAATTCTGGTCTTCATTATAGACTCAGATATGACAGTATGCCTTCAATGGCCTCTTCAGAAACGCCAGCTTCCAACACTTATGTAAATCAAGCCTTCCCTCTAATTCTTCCTTTCTTTTGATCGTTTCCTGTGTGAGATGCCCTCTGTTAACTATCACTGATATAAAATAAAGAAGAAAATACCCTTGCTTAGGAGTATTCAGGTAGAAGAAAATCACTCTAAAAGACAACCAATATTTAGTGAGTGCCTGGCCTGCACCAGGCTTCTGTGCTGAACACTTTATACCTGTTACATCACTGAATCTTCACACATTTGAAGATCATGTGTCATATATGTCTTATTGTCCCGAGTTGGCAGAGAGGTTGAATAATTTGTTCAAAGTAATAGAGCCAGAATGTTCTGTAATCACGATGAGGTGGTTGAAAAAGCATCTATAAGACTGAGTTCATCTTATGGAGAGGATCAAGATCACAGGAAATGAACGTCAGGTCTACCATTTACTACTTGAATGATTGTGGGCAAAATGATTAACCTCTCTATGCCTCAGTTTCTTTGTCTATAAGAAACTGGGGGAGTGGTGGCAATAGTAAACCCTCCTTCATAGATTTGGTGTGAGTATTAAATGAGTTAATGCAGGGAGTGTACCTACTATCTGGCTCCTGGAAAGTGCTTGGTAAATATCGGTCAGCAAGAGCACACTTACTCATCTGCTTTCCTGATCCTACCTGCCACACTGAACATTCCTATCTTCCAGATTTTTGTGAGTTTGTTGTTGTTGTTGTTGCTATTCGGTTTTTTATTTTATTTAGCTATAATGAAAAATAAATATACCCAGATTTCAGCACAGCCAGTGAGTGCTTTACCAATCATGAGAACATTTGTTTCACAGATATTGACTTGATTTGTCACTATCTCTATACAGGTGGAGAAGAGAAGAAGACAAGAGAAGAGGTCATAACATTGTGCTACACAGGAGCACTTAGGGAATGTTGTATGATCTCAGTTATTTAAAGATGATTATTTTAGATAAAAGTATAGACATTTAATAGAAATAAAAGATTGCTTTAAACAATGAGGAACCATTATAAATTCACCTCCTGAATGATGCTAGATGACCGCACTTCCTCTTTACTACTAGGCAACTCAGAGAGTAATACCTTATCAGTAACCAGCGGAGGAGCCAGAAAGAACTGTCACTCTCATTTGGCTCAATCTTAGAGCAACTCAGAGAGTAATACCTCATCAGTAACCAGGGGAGGAGCCGGAAAGAACTGTCACTCTCATTTGGCTCAATCTTAGAGCAACTCAGAGAGTAATACCTCATCAGTAATCAGGGGAGGAGCTGGAAAGAACTGTCACTCTCATTTGCCTCAATCTTAGAGTAAGCAACACATAAATTTCCCCAAGTTTGGCTACATTGGCTAATTTCCAGTGCTCATACTTGTCTGATGATGTATTCCTTTTACCTACATATGACATCTTACAAGTATTCTAAGGGAGTAGAATGAGGGAGAGAGGAGAGAGGGAAGAGAGGGGAAGAGAGAGAGCAAGACTGAATTTTTTATTGCTGCTCAAAGAATGAACAACTATCTCTCTAGTTTTTGTATCTTGTCCCTGCCAAAAATGTAGTCGCCCTCCCTGGATAGAGTTCTTACGGTATTTCGCAATGAAAAAAAAATGATTGGAAGAAATTTTGGGCATATTCTACCCAGCTACCCTTACGGCCCTTTCACATACAATAGCCTAAAGTGGTTGATGTGTATATTTTGGAAAATACGATATTATTCTTTTGTGCTCAGTTGTCTCAACGTTATTCATTTTCTTTCAATTTTGTTTGAATGAAAGTTGAAATCTCCAGACTACTTTCATAGTTGTATAAAAACTGTTTTATGTTGTAGAGAATTATTCTATCCCAATGGCATAATTGCACACTAACATTTTAGGGGTATTCGTTATTTGCAGGATAATAGACACAAACCCAGAAATGAACAGCATTCAACCTGAGTCAGCCTGGTAGAAAAATCCATAATTCACCTCTTGGACTTACTCGGAAAATACAGCACAAGTCACATCACCTTTTTGGTGCCTGCCCCATCCTTCCAATCGCAAAATACAAACTGCAATAATGATGGAGATAAATGATATTGCAGCAATGTCGCGCTTACAATTGGAGGTCACTCTTACATGAAAAGATTACTCTGACAGCATTGAGAAGGATGGATGGGAGGGAGAGACTGGAGGCTTCTGAAGAAACCAGTTAAGGGAATGACGGCAATTTTCCAGGAGACATAATGGAGGATGGAAAAGGAAGTTACAGCAAAAGTAGGAAGGGGAGTGTGGTTGGGGAAATAATTTGGAGATAGAATGGCCACATATTGTTTAAGTGGGTTAAGAGACAAGGAGAGGTTGAAGCTGATGTTGCCATTAAAATAATAAGCTAACAAACATTCAAGGAAGGACAGTATTGGGAGAAATTGCATTGGCAGATGCTGAGTTTACATGTTGGCTTAGAACACCTTCCAATTTACCTGCTCACACCTTCACCCTGGATCCTTACCTCCCCGACACTGTGATTCCAGGACTTTGTTTTTGCTCCTAATAATTGCTTGCTACTCACCTCTTTGTTTCAGTCAATTTTTTAGCCTCCCTACTCTTACTGACCTACTTTGGCCCTAACCTGCAATACAGATGATTTCCCTGGAAGTCAGGCTACTGTCTACCCTCTTTTCCCTGCAGCTAGGCAGCTTGGATAGAGAAAGTGGTATTCTCCCAGATGCTCAAATTTAGACCCTACAGACCATCAGAAACCATTAGCCAATCAGTGAAGGGCTTCTTAAGAGACTGTAAACCTATTTTTTTTTTTTTGTAATGCAAAGCAATTTGTAAAATGAAGTATAATCACCCTCAATGTAACTAGGAGACTTCAAAATACTGCAAGACTTTGAAATACTACAAGTGGCAGAACAAATATTTTCCTTTCAAATTTCACCCCTGGAAGTTTATAAGTATAGAGAAGTGTGTTAAAAACTAGTACCAATTAATTTTTCACTAGTTCTTCAATCTCATAACAATTTGTATAAAACCCATTCATAGGCAAAATTAGGAGGGAGAATGGGCGATCGTGGCTTAAATACATCTGTGCTCTCCTTCAGTCCCGAAAGCTTCTCTATTCAGAGCTTGACGGGATCTTAGGAATTAATGATGGAGAATTCCAAGGGGAGGGCAATAGTAGTGGATATTGGCAAGACCTGTCTTGCATTAAAGTATGGATCCCAAGAAGAAAAATGATGGTATCATTCCATATGAGTATACCTGATTTCAGTAGCTTCCAAACAGTTGAGGGAGAGATAAACCAGTGATAAGTCTTGTTTATACCTTAGGCTGAAACCTCTGGAAGAGAAGGAAAACAGAGGCTTCTCCTGGCTCCTTAGTAGAGAACCCACGCTGCTTTCACTATATCAGGTGGAGGAAACCACAGCACTTCCTGCCACCCACCGCACGGCTCTAGCTTAAGGTACGGTGGAGCTCAGCCTGAGTCCCAGAGAGCTGAGAAAAGAAAATCCTAGCACATGTGAGAAGCCCTGCAGCCAGAGAAAATCAGAGCAAGTGGAACATTCAGGAAAGATCCTAATAAAATACAGCTTCTGAGAGTTACATATTAATACTTGAACTAAAAAACAGGAGGAATATTGGTATAAACATGGCTGCATATGTCTAGTTTTTCCCTATAATTTTTCTGGTAATCATAAAGATGCAGCACAAACAATGTTAATATACACAAAATCCATTTTCAGGGACATTAGGTGACAATTCCAATCTGCATATTCAAAAATATCAGTAAGGGCTTCCAAAAATAGCTGAATCAAGTAGAAGCCATACGGGATATTACAAGAGAGCCCAGAAGCAGAAAAATCTCAGAGAGCCCCATCAAAAATGGCCTTCTGGCTGGGCATGGTGGCTCATGCCTGTAATCCCAGCACTTTGAGAGGTCAAGGCAGGCAGAGCACTTGAGGTGAAGAGTTTGAGATCAGCCTGGCCAACATGGTGGAACCCTGCCTCTTAACTAAAAATACAATACTTAGCCAGGCATGGTGGTGTGTGCCTGTCATCCCAAATTCAGCCTGGGCGACAGAGGGAGACTCTGTCTCAATCAGTCAATCAATCAATAAATCAATGCCTTCTTGAAGATAAGGGGCCAACTCGGAGTTCAAAAACTATACTTCTTGTTTGGAATAAGAGATGAGATTTTGAGGAAGTAGCCCTCAAACTAAGTAGAATTTATAATATTTTAAGAAAAAATATCAAAAATAGCATTGGAATTTATCATTTGATGTAGATCACTCACAAGTGAGAAATACTGATATAAAGCAAAAGTATCCAAATGTTTAGCTAAGAATTCATAATAAATTAACGAAGTAATAACATTTATAAAGAAAAAAACCTACACAGCATAAATGTAAAAAAAAATGTGAAAAAAATAGTGAAACCATCCAGAGATGCCATCTAAATATTAGCTGGCAAAATTCAGGGAAAATAATTAAAATAGAAGATTTTTTTAAATGACAGGAAAAAAAAAAGATGAAATTGGAGGGAAAAATGGCCCATGGCAAAACCTGCAATTACTTTTGCACCAACCTAATAAATATTACAGATATTTTAATAAGAAAATGTTGAAAAATAAGGAAGATGACTCAAAATTGAAAATGTTTTAGTGCTTGAGGAAACTGGTTCAAATAGTCAACACTGTGAAACATCCTGGTAAAGTCTTGGAATTTTTAAATGACTTGATAATTTTGGCCTCATTGCCCAAAATATATCTTTCCGAATTTTTAAAAAGGAAAATATCATACTAATCTTGGATTTCTCCACATAATGTAACAACCTACGATATACACAATGAAAAAAATATGAACCAGTGACTTCATGTCAAATTCTGTCTCTTAATCATAAAAGTAAACATGAGTTTGAACAGGAAAGAACCAAGTTAATTTTCTCCTCTTCCTTAATGAGCGATTTTAACTTATCTCTCACAGATAATTACACAGGTGAATAAAAGGACTTAAAAATATGGAAAAGAATAAATAATAAGATAGATCATATTGACATATATAGATATGTCACATACCACACCTATATGTTTATCATTATGTATATATGTGTGTGTATAAAACATTTGCCCTTTAATAGAGAGTACAATTTTTATGTGCCTATCGGATATTAACAAAAATTGACAATAGCACCCAAAACATATGAAAATGCACAGAGTATTCTTCAAAAAAAGTGATAAAATAAGAAATTAATGACTAACCGAGAAGACAACTAGGAATTTAAAAAATTAAGTTTGTAACTTTATGTCAGAGGAAATTGCAAATTAAAATCAAGTATTTTAAAGACTGGTACTGGATATCAAAACTTCATAGAGCTACAGCTTGATGAAGTGAATAATAGTCTAGAAAAACACAATTTACCAAAACTCACTAAGGGAAGATTCAAAATCTAAACAGACAAAATATATGAAGTTGTCAAAGAACCCTTCCCTGTCCCATCAAAAAAAGCAATAGGATGGAATGTGTCCATGGAAGAATTCTGCCAGACTTTTTTTTTTTTTTTTTTTTTTTTTTTTTTTTTAAGACGGAGTCTCACTCTGTCGCCCAGGCTGGAGTGCAGTGGCGCGATCTCGGCTCACTGAAAGCTCTGCCTCTTGGGTTCACGCCATTCTCCTGCCTCAGCCTCCCGATTAGCTGGGACTACAGACGACCACCACCACGCCTGGCTAATTTTTTTTGTATTTTTAGTAGAGACGGGTTTCACCGTATTAGCCAGGATGGTCTGGATCTCCTGACCTCGTGATCCGCCCGCCTCGGCCTCCCAAAGTGCTGGAATTACAGGCGTGAGCCACCGCACTCGGCCGAATTCTGCCAGACTTTTAAAGTAGATTATCATATTATTCAAACAGTGTTAGACTATAAAAGAACACTTTTTGAATTAGTTTAAAAATATTTTATTAATAGTCGTTCCAGTACCTGATCAAGATCTATTATACACCAATATTACCTAATAATTGTAATGTGAAAGCCCCATATAAAGTATCAGCAAACTGAATGCAGCAGCATGTAAAAAGAATAATACATCATGATCAAGTGTTAATACAAATAATCCAAGCATAGTTCAATAATCAAAGATCTATTTATATAAAGTCATATTAATAAGTTCAAGAAGGAATATTAGGTAATCATCTCAACTGATGCTTTAAAATACATTTGGCATAGTTCAACAATAATTATTTATTTTTAAAAAATCAATAAAACAGTAACAGATGGATACTAGCTTTTCCCAGATAAATATATCTCTCTCAGCCTAGAATAGCTTCATGGTTAATGTCAAACCTTGCAGGTATTCCCACTAGGGTGAGAAGAAGAAAACAATATCCCCAGTCACCAGTATTCTTTAAAATTATATTTTAGTAGCAGTCAGTTAGAAAATGAAAGAAATTGGATGTACAAAAAAATTAAGGAGGAGGAACAATTGTCACTATTTACAGCAGTTAGAATTGTATAAGTAGAAAATCCAAGAGAATGAACTGAAAAATTACTGTATATAATGAATATGCTGAATTCAGTAGCTTGCTTTTAAGAAAATAATAATACCTATAGGATATATTAGTAAAATATTCCACATGTAATCAAAACAAAAAGATAAAATATCTCAAAACAAATAAAACATAAGAACCATAATAAGAAAAAAATTAAAAAGCTATTAATTGAAACCAAAGGAGTCTGAGTAAATGGAAATTCAATATTTTATTGAAAAGGAAACCTCTCCATCACTTACATGCCACTCCTCCATAAGTTAACATGTATATCTTATCATGATGCTTATAAAATTCTCTAAAGGGGTTTTTGAACAAGGTAAGTTTATTCTAAAACCCATATGGAAATTTTATCAAATAAATATAAGCCAGTGAATTGCAACAAGAGAGCTGGTCCTATCAGATATTAAAATACATTATAAACCTGCTTTAAGAATCTGATGACTTGGGCCGGGCGCGGTAGCTCAAGCCTGTAATCCCAGCACTTTGGGAGGCCAAGGTAGGTGGATCACAAGGTCAGGAGATTGAGACCATCCTGGCTAGCACGGTGAAACCCCATCTCTACTAAAAATACAAAAAAATTAGCCGAGCGTGGTGGTGGGCGCCTGTAGTCCCAGCTACTCGGGAGGCTGAGGCAGGAGAATGGCGTGAACCCAGGAGGCGGAGCTTGCAGTGAGCTGAGATCGCACCACTGCACTCCAGCCTGGGCGACAGAGGGAGACTCTGTCTCAAAAAAAAAAAAAAAAAAAAAAAAAAAAAGAGGAATCTGATGACTTAATAAACATGCAAACCAGAAGATGAGAAATTTCAAGAAGATCTGTGATAGTCAATATTTTAAGATAGCTCCCAAGATTCTTGGTATAATCCCTCCCCTTGAGTATAGAGGGAACCTGTTAATATGATGGAATGTCAACCCATGATTGGATTACATTATATGGCTAAAGTAAAAGAATTTCCCAGATGTAATTAAAGTCACTGATCAGTTGGTTTTAAGGTAATCAAAAGAAAGATGGTAGGGAATTTCATGGTCCTCTGGGAATTCATATTAGCCCCAGGCTGACAACTAACAAGAAAACAGGGATGTCAGTCCTATAGCTGCAAGGAATTGAATTCTGCCAACAACCACATGAGCTAGGAATAGCATAACCTCACCTATCCTGACCAATACAGTACAATGTCTCAAAATCCAGAAACTCTAAAAGAAAGAAAGAGAGAAAGGAAAAATAAAGAAGAAATAAATTCAACTACAAAAATATTTCAAAATGCTCAGTGGAAAAAGAACCCTGCAAGTAAAATCAAAAGACAAATGATAAACTGGAAAAATAATTTTTATCTATAAATTACTCTGCAAAGAGTTTATGTTTCTAATAGGTCAAGTGCTCCCGGAAAACAAGAAAAAGACAATGGTCAGAGAAAATATATGGGCTAAGAAATAGAAAGTTATGAAACAGCAATTGCAAATGACTCTTAGACATATGAAAAGATTCCAGTCACATTCAAAATAAGAAAAAATAAGTTTAAATTGCACAGCGATACAATTTTTTACCTATCAGATTGGCTCTAAAAATCCAAACCTCCAAAATTGTTGCAGGAAGACAGGGATTTCCATATATTTCTAGTGGAAATGTTGATTGTAGAAACCCTTGTAAAACAATTTGGCACTATCTAATAAAAATATACAAACCCACACTCTTATACCCCAATTCTACTTCTGGGATTGTATCCTAGGCATACTGGCCTACACAGGAAATGACAATGTCATTCATGTTACATTGCTTGTGATAGCAACATTTTAAACAAGCTAAACATCCATAAGGAAGGAACCAAGTTCCTTTATACTCATCTTCTTTTTTATTTATTTATTTATTTATTTTTTGAGACAGGGTCTTGCTCTGTCCCCCAGGCTGGTGTGCAGTGGTGTGATCTTGGCTCACTGCAACCTCTGCCTCCCGGGTTCAAGCAATTCTCTGCCTCAGCCTCCCGAGTAGCTGGGATTACAGGCCCTCGCCACCACGCCCGGCTAATTTTTGTATTTTTAGTACAGACAGGGTTTCACCATCTTGGCCATGCTGGTCTTGAACTCCTGACCTCATGATCCACCCACCTCGGCCTCCCAAAGTGCTGGGATTACAGGTGTGAGCCACCGTGCCCAGCACATTTACCCAGCGCATTTATACTCATCTTCTAATTAACAGTGTTTAAGTGTTTTTCTAATTTTGTAATTACAAAGACTATGACTTTAAACATTTTTATCAGTCACTGACCACATCAGATGACAATATTCAAGGAATGATATAAGAACACCTCCCCACTCAAATCATAATAGAGTCCTCAGATGAATTGGAGAGGATAAGGGGGAAGAGTGGTAGGTTGTGTGTCCTTCCGTGTGTGTGTGTGTGTGTGTGTTTATACACGCACAGTAGTATGTAAATGAATAAGCATAGGCTATCTGGAAATATATGAGATTTTTCAAATTAAGAGGTGTAATGACAGGATAATCTTAAAGTATTCTGGACTATAGAACTACTGAACTATTTTAATAAAACCCAGGCTTTGAGGTGGAAGATGGAGTGAACATCAAGCCTATTTTAAAGTTTATCTTACTTGAGTGGGAGAAACAGCCTTGAAAGTATTTGGTGAAGAAAATAGAGATATTTCCATCTAATAGTAGAGAGATATGTGTTTGATTATTAATGCTAGAAAAGTGAAATACAATGTAGAGTTTCCAAATTGTCACCAACTTCAGATAAAATTGTGGTTGATACTGGAGGCCACATGTTTCATTGAACAGATAATGAATCATCTTAAAAAACAGAAAAACCATTGACACCAGTGCCTTAAGAATACATTGCCTTAAGCTAGACACTAGGACCCATTATTGAAATAATGGCAAAAGCTTCAGACTATTTACAAGTCCAATATCTTAAGGACATTAAGTGTATATGCATTAGACACATTGGGGCAAACGTCCTTTCTTGTCACATTTAAAGTTACTCGAAATCTTGTCATCGTGAAATTGAGTCCTGGCTAGTTTGTTTGCAAGAAGTTCTCTTGGGATATCCTTCATTAACTTAAATAATTTATTGTTAAATAATCCTCACTTAAACTCTGATGTTATTTTAAAAGGTCTGTGATGTGAAATTGTATTGCCCTTTCATGTTTGTATTAGGAAATTGAACTTTTTATTAATCATTAATATTTAACCTACTAACAATTACCTCCCAAACTTACAAAATGTATGCATTATAGTATACAAAGTATATACATGGTATATATAGTTTATACAAAGTATACTATTATTGTTCAGCAGAATTTTATGTGACTATCAAAATGTTCTCTAAATCTGCACTATTAACAATATGGTAGCCAACAAACACGTATGATTACTGATAAATTGTGGCTAGGAATGGACGTTTAAATTGTAATTAACTTTAATATAAATTGCTATATGCAACTGTGGGTATGATATAGATTTTTTTTGCAATAACTTCTTCCTTTCTTACATAAGTAATGCTAGTAAAATAAATACAGGTTTCAGCAAAAATTTCATGTAAAGTACTACATTAACTTTTTCTGCTGCAGATGGTAACCTTTAATGGAGTCAAAAACAGAACTGCTAAACAATCAAGTAGGAAAATAAAAATAGTATTTTGACCAAGTTGAAAAAAAAAATAGGAAAGGGCAAAAGAAAACATACAGTAAAAAGTATAACATAAAATAAACAGAAAGAGAAAAATTACACATATTGCCACCTTTTCTCTAAATGGAGTCAATTTTCATATCAAAAGGTAGTCTATTAACTAAGATTGTTAAACAGAACCAAGCCATTTGTTATTTCCAAAAAGAAATACACAAAAAAGTGATGTGATGATCAATAGCTTAAATAAAGGCCTGGGCAACAATACAGCAGGCCAAAACAAAAGTTAGTAACAGTAACATAATTAGCAATATCAGGGTCAGACAAGGTGGAATTTAAGCTTAAAAGTACAATCAGGGTAAAGTGCTTCTTTATTAAAAATAAAGGCAACTATTTACATATATATATATATATATATAGGAATATATGTGTATACATATACATATAAATAAAAATGGAAACTGAATGTATAAATCAAAAAATGCAAAGAAAATGTGATAAAAATAATTGTAGTGGGAGATTTTAATTTGCTTCTTTCAGAATAGATTAGTATCAGTAAACAGAAACCATACTAGGATGTAGATAAATTCATCTACCCTATATTGTAGTGAATACTATAGCAGCAATTTCATTTAAAAGAGTAGGATTCTGTCTTGTTCCTTCCTATTGCTGTCGTGCCTGCAACAGTGCCTGGCACAAGACAGTATTTGTTAAAAGAATAAATGGCTATTTATTCATAGAAAATTTTAGTTCTTCAAATAGAGACATAAATATTTTAATACATCGAGAAATCATAAACACTTGAAAATTAAGAATGCAGGAATGCATAATCATTGGATCAAATTGGAAATCAAAATGGAAATTATAGTGCCAGGGCTAAATTGGTAGGGCAGCATGTCAGAAAACTGTTCTGCAGTCTTTTTACTGTCAGCTTGACTGACATAACAAAACTTTTATTTCAACAGATGTCACACGCCACTGTTAAAACACAGCACAAATATTACATATTGATGAAATATATCCAAATTACTTGCTGCAAGAGATATTTTAATGCACATTTAATCTCCTCATTTTAAGGACAGGAACATTATCTTTAAAAGTTGTTTTCTTTTTTTCTTCTTCTTCTTCTTTTTAAATTTAAAGATGGGGGTCTTGGTAGGTTGCCCAGGCTGAATTTGAGCTCCTGGGGTCAAGCAATCTTTCCACTTCAGCCTCCTGAGTAGCTGGGACTATAGGAGTACAAGTGGACACCACTGCACCAGGCTGAAAGGTGTTTTTGTGTGTGTGTGTGTTTTTAACTCAGAGAGTATCTGCCACCCTTCCAATGGGTTTGATGTGAAATTCAACCATTTCATAATCTACCTACTGGGAATCTAAGAGAATCCATTAGGGAACTCTTTATTAGCTTGTGATTTTCTGTAGATATAAATTTCCCTACCATTTGCCACTCCTCGCACTTCAGTTCATGTTTGTGGTGACGGCAAACAGGGCAAAACAAATTTGTTAAGTAATTTTTAACTCCCCAATAGGTGTCTCATCTTCTTTTCTTAGCTATGCCTCGAACCAATTCACTAGTTCTTTCCCGATAGTACAAAGAAAATAAGGGATGAACATTATGGCAAGAGTGTAATGAAATCACTTAATTTTTCTGTATTCACTTCATGGTAAAATATGAAAACTGTCTAAATAATTTACATTGCAATTTTTAAAACTTTTGATTATGGGTATTTTCAAACACACAAAAGTAAAAGGAATGGTATAAGAAACCATCATCTATTAATCACTTTAGCTTCAACAATGATCATTAATTTAGCTATTCTTTTGCACCATACTCCTCAAACATATTTTATATTTTATTTGCTATAATAAGACAAATTCAGGACAGCATATCAATTTCACCCATCAATATTTCAGCAGGTATCTCAAATAAATATTTCTTTATTAACATAAGACAAATACTAACTCATAACAAATATTAATCCCCAAACTAACAATGTGTTTACACTTCTTTATTTGTATATATAGTTGACATTCTTTGTGTGTGTATATACACAAACACATGGTGTGTGTGTGTGTGCGTGTACACGTGTACTCCTGTCATTTTTTTCTGAGCCCCTTGATTAAATATCCAATCTGGTTTACAGTTTACACTTTAGGCCGAGCCAGTAGTTAAATGTCTTTTCAGGTATAATGGGGTTGCCCATGGATAAAATGATCTCTTCTGCTTCTACAGATAAAAAGTCATCTAAAATACATTGATGGTTTTTTGCATCCCTTGGAATTGGGGAATTCCCTTGTCTCTCATTGAGTGCTTCTCGTTGGTGGTTTTGATAATTTTTGCCCACGTCAAGAGTCAACAAACTTTTTCTGCAAGGGCTAGATACTGAATATTTGAGGTCTTGCCTCCCGCAGGGTGTCAGTTACAACTACTCAACTCTGATATTGTAACAGGATAGCAGCCACTGGCAATACAAAAATGAATTAGTATGACTTTGTTTCAGTAAAGCATTATTCAAAAAAACAAAACAAACTAACAACAACAATAAAAAAAAAAAACAGGGCTGGATTGGAGCCCTGGTCCACTTGGCCATTTTTAAAAATGCTGGCCTCTTCGCTATGGCTCGTGGATTTTGTGCTCATGGATAGTGGTTGCAACACAGCCTGCTGGCCAGATTTCTACATCAAATCCTGGCTTACCATTTATTAGCTGTGTGATACTGAGAAAGTTACTTAACCTTTCTGTACTTAGTTTTCTCATTTGCAAAATGGAAGTTTTAGGAGTAATTACCTCATAGGTGCGAAAAGAGATTAGGTGTACTAAATATGTGTTAAGTGCTTAGAACAGCACTCCAATCCCTTATTTTGTCAACCATTCTGACCTCAGGGAACATCAGCCCTCTTGTCATCCTTGACTCAGCCACTCTTCTTGCCTCTCACTTGGCTGCAGATCCCTAAGTTTTTGCCAGGTCTTTTGTCTAGAAGCTGACCCATCATTTTAAACCCAATCTCCATGGTGGGTGGGGTGCTCCCCTTTGGGCCCACGGCATGTCACTGGATCTCAATATACTTCCAGGGTCAGAAAACCATGGAAGCCTCCATCTCTCTGAACACTCCAATCTATCAGGTGTCAGTTTATTCTGGGCAGCCTGCTATGCCAACTCCTTGAGGAGCCGACCTCAGCTCTTTCTACAGAAGGCCTCTCCCACAACCCCAATGAACACCTCCGTATGAGAAGATGGAATCTACATTCCTCTCCTCAAAACATCCTAAAACTGGAGTAAAGGCAGATTTTTCTTTAATTTCCACTATATCATATCCCAGAGTGGCCCTTGCTGCCATAGGTAGACAAGGCATTCTGTGCACAGCATAGAATTCCTCATTGGCTTTGATATGTTAACATGAAAGAAAGGAATGGAGTTGGAAGGACACTGAGCACAGATACTAGCAAGAGGTAAGGTTTTTTTTTAATTATTTGCATAATCTAATGATGACTGTCAAAATCTAAATGTAAACTTCAGACTTACTCTTTATATTCCATCTCAATGGATGGTTAACTGCCTTCTAAATATGTTGCCAAAGGTACAGAGAAGAAAAGTCTACTTACGAGTCTGTTTGCAATTTAATAAAATTATAAATGTTAAATGTGTTATATAGTAAAATGAGCTCATATATTCACTAGATTTTAAAAGCTAAATGTTAACAAAATTACCATCCATTCATTCAGTTTTAATAAATAAGCATCACACCATTAACACACTACTTTTAGATAGTTAAGAAATAGATCTGAGGATTAGATTCCACACCTTCCTTCCTTCCTTCCTTCCTCCCTCTCTCCCTTCCTTCCCTCCCTCCCTCCATCTCTTCCTTCCTCCCTCCCTCCCTCCCTTCTTTCCTTCCTTCCTGCTCTCTCTCTGTCATTATCTCTCTCTTTCTCTCCCTCTCTCTTTCTTTCTTTCTTTTTTTGACAGAATCTCCACTCTGTTGCCCAGGCTTGAGTGCAGTAGCAAGACCATAGCTCATTGCAGCCTCCACCTCCTGGACTCAAGTGATCCTCTCACCTCAGCCTCTCCAGTAGTTGGGACTACAAGCACATGCAACCAGACCCAGCTAATTTTTTTGCAGTTTTTGTAGAGACAAGGTTTTGCCATGTTGCCCAGGTTCATCTCAAGCTCCTGAGCTCAAGCAATTCGCCTGTCTTGGCCTCCTGAAGTGCTGGGATTACAGGAGCAAGCCACTACACCTGGTCCAGATTTTTTCTTAATACAAAATAATATTGTCATTCTATGAACTTCTTGAAGGAAAAAAACAATACAATGTATACAATAAAAAAGTGCAATAGCACATATGCCTTATATACATATGTATACTTAATATATAAAATGTAATACAATTATTTATAATATGTTATAATAACCTATATTTATACATTATGATCCATCTCAAAGAGTTTTCACCTGTATCATTTCATATGCATAAAATACATCAGCAAAGTGAAGGGTCAGAAAACTTTAGGGGCTTTCTTATGGGTGAATTTAGTCAGAATCGGGGAGCTACACTTGTTCTTTCTGAATTTTCTTCCCTACTAAGCAGAGAAACCAGTCAAAAGCTCCTATAATGTTATACATGTTGCCCTCCTCTCCAATGGTTGATTTACATATTCCAAGCAATACTGGCAGTCATCTGCCCTGATCCTCACCATCAGCTTCCTAAACTCCCACTCTCCAAGCCCTGCTAAATGTATTCTCAAATTCAATTTCTCAAAGAACTAAGAATAGAACTACCATTTGACCCAGCAATCCTACTACTGAGTATCTACCCAAAAGAAAAAAAAAAATGTTTTATCAAAAAGACACCTGCATTTTTATGTTTATTGTAGCACTATTCACAATAGCAAAGTCATAGAATCAACCTAAGTATCCATCAACAGTGGAATGGATAAAGAAACTGTGGTACATATAGACCATGGAATACTATGCAGCCATAAAGAATAAAGTCATTTCATTTGCAGCAACATGGATGCAGCAGGAGGCCAGTGTCCTATGTGAATTTATGCATCAACAGAAAATCAAATACCACATTTTCTCATGTATAAATGGGAGCTAAACAATGGGTACACATGGACATAAAGGTGAAAACAATAGACAATGGGGACTCCAAAAGAGGGGAGGAAAGGAGGGAGGGAGTAAAGGGTTGAAGAACTACCTACTGGGTACTACGTTCACTGTTTAGAAGATGGGTTCACTAGAAGTCCAAATCCCAGCATCACCAAATATACCCATTTAACAAACAAATATATGTATATATCCCCCAAATCTAAAAAAAAAAAATACATACACTCATATAGAAGGAATAAGTTCTGATGTTAGATAGAACAATATGATGACTGTAGTTAACAACAATGTATTGTATATTTGAAAACAGCTAGAAGAAAAGAGTTGAAATGTTCCCAACACAAAGAAGTGATGAATGTTTGAGGTGATGAATTTCCTGAATATGCTGATTTGATCATTACAATTTGTATGCATGGTCAAAATATGACATATTCCCCATAAACATGTACAAATACTATTTATCAATAAAAATAAATTAAATTAACAATTAAGCAAATTTATCCTCCAATAAAAACTCGTGTCACCTGCTTTCCTCCACCACCACCATCATCTTAGCCGTGAATATCTCTTCTCTCAACCACTCCACTGGCTGCCTTGTCCACCTGCATCCACCAAGGCAGCCAGTCTCCGCATGCAAGGAAGGATGGTTTGTCAGATACAAAAGAGATCATGTCACTTCACCCACTCTCAACCCTGCCTAATAAACGTTGATGGTTTCTCATTGCCTTTGGGACGAGTTTAAACATTAGTAGCACCACTACTTCTCCAGCCTTCCTCTTCCTCTCTGAGCTGCGGCCACACTGACTTTACATTTACCACACCCCTCTCAAACACACGACTGCTTCACGTGTCATATTCTTCACCTGAAATGCTCATGCCCAACCTTTTACCGAGTTACTCATGCTCATCCTTTAGATACTGGTGAACAATTACTTCCTCAGGAAAGCCTGGTCTCACCTCCATGATCAGTAAAAGCTACCATTATATGCATAGACTGCACCAGGATCTCTTCTTCACAGCACTTACTATAGTAATTTTACATGTATCCATGTAATTTTTAAAGCTCCCTAAAATAGGGGTTTTTTTTGTCCTTTTTTACTTTTGGGTTCTCAGAACTTAGCACTGCTCCTGCCACATAAACAATTCAATAAGTATTTGTTGAATTAGTAAATAAATTCAGAAGAAAATGAATACCAAGGTACCCTACTGACTGGTAGATGACGTTGAGAAAATATACATAGTATAAATATTAGGCTAGAATACTTAGCATTAAAGCCAGAGGTTAAAATAGCAGACTGAATCCTCCTGAATAAAATCACTGTATTTGACAATAATTGGAGAGGGCTGAAAGGTTTCACAGGAAGAAAGAATTTTCTTTATTTTTCCTATAAGATATTTTTGGAGTGTCCATTTCGGGAACTAGGCAGACCCAGCTCCAGCGGTATGGAAGACGACATGACAGAGTCCCTCAGATTCTAATAGTGAATGTGTTTATGATTCTTCACTTTACTCAAGACCCCAGAGGGGCTCATCTATTAAAAATGTACCCTCGATAACAAAAACAGGCTCCACCGAGGTCATACTGTTAGAGATTTTGACACTAGGCTCATTGTTCATTCCACTACAATGCACCTGCCACTCTTATATTGAAGCTTATCGCTGGCAACCAACCAATTCTATTACAGCATAATCATCCATCTTTGTCCTTTTCCATGGAATCCCATCTACATCTTAAATGAAACGAGTCATATTTATTTTTGTTTTAGGAATTCAACTGTTGACAGTCAACATTGCATTAGTTCAACTGTTATAAATTTGGGAGGGATTAGTCATAATCATAGTGAAACAAAACAGACCAAGGTCATGTGCAATTTAAATTTTAAGATTTAACATTAGTCATAAACAGGTTGAATTTTTTTTTTACATTAGTCAGCAAATAGCACATGAATCTCATCCTTAAATTTTATCATTTAAATTTTCCGGGCTCCTTGATTTATTTCACAAGTTATTTAAATTCATTAGGAATTGATATATTTATATTTTATTGCTCTTAGTAATGCAGGGCTATAACTTACCATATTCAGAAACTGTCAAAAATCAGAATTAAAAGCTAGAAGGGAACAAATGGAACCACAAGGCTATTGATTTGTCTGTAGCTGCAGATCTCAAATATTTGCATTCCTCAAGTACATGAAACAGCAGAAATTATGCATGATGAATTCAGATATTCCAAGAGTGAAAAATAAAGAAATGTGAGTAGACAGGAAAAATCACAGAAGAACCCAAGGTAGTGTGTATATTTCATTTGGAGAGAAAATCATGTGGTGAAGCTGGAGCCTAGGGCCAAGCAGGCATATAACGCTGATGCAGATTTTAAAGTAGTATTTAAAGTGCATTGTCTTTATATGTAACAAGAAAGAGGGATCAAACACTTCCTTAAGGATGACTGAAGAAGTCTTACAGCACAATACGGAGGTGGCAGGTGGCATATGACTGTATGTGTAACTGCCAAACTTTCAAACACACACATACACACACACACACACACACACACACACACTTCATCAGTAGAATATGTGTTTATTAGTTACACAACATCACTTTATATAAATTATCTAATGCATCCTAGGCATCTTAGAAATGGGTCTAGAAATGGCAGACTCAATGCTTTCCATTTATAACTAAAATGCTTTATTCACCTCGGATCAATCCAAGGTTAATTTTACTTAAGGTTAAATAAATCTGTTATTTTGAAGAGGATTTGTGATATGAACTGAGTTTAGTGGGGAGTGAAATGTTTAAAGCATGGTTTCCATCAGAGAAGACTGAGGCTAAAATTAAGTTAGAATGCATGTCCAGGGCCTAATTGCTCTTTCTCTTTTTGAGTAAATCCCTTAGAGCTGAGGGAGAGCATAGGATGGGATACTTCTCATCCTTGGTGAGAGGACAAGCGGGGCATTTGCTGGCAGGTTGTCAAAGGCCAAAAACCAGAGTAGCAAATTCAAACTGGCCCATTCATCAGAGGGCTAACAAGAGAGAGGAAGTCAAGATAGAGAAAGAAAAAAAAATTGCAAAAATATGCTTGCTAAATACAAGGTTGAAGGAGGCATAGAAAAATTCCAGAAATAGAAGTCTTTTTTTGTTTTAATTTTTCAATATGCTTCCAGGACAGTCCTATGCAATTACGAGATATTAAGAGGCTGAAGCAGGTACATCAAGATAAATTTATCTTTATTCCTTATTTATTCACATAGAGATTTAAGGCAGCTTCTAAAGACTCAGAAACTTTAACAAGATACATTAATTAAAGGTAAGATGGGGAACCAAGGAAAAATAGTTGGTCATGCCTGAACAATCATATATAATGACCCCCACATTGCTACAGAATAAATCAAATTAGCTGTAGAATTTCAGTAGCCTAAGAGAAGGAGAAAAATTGGTCATATAATTCACAATTCCCATAGGAAATTTAATGCCTCAGAGAAATTTTATCATTCTTTGACTAAAGGAAGATATTTCTTCTAGGATCACCAAAGTGTGATTCTGTAAACACAATTTCATGATGGCTCAATAATAATTGAACTTAGGCACTCAGTTCTCTCCTCTCTAGGCTTGCTCTAGAGATAAGTTTTTAGAATTGTGGTCTTCAAGTATTTTTTTTTCTGAACAATGCTGATACCAAGCAAGCTTTCTGACAAATATTGTATGTACTGAGGTCATTTTTGCAGTGTCTGCCAAGTATTTATACTGCCGTCTAAGTACAGATCTTCTTGACTTAACAAAAAATTGAACTCAACGTAGACCATCTGGGACGGAGGCTGAGGAGCCCATCTTGTACCTGAAAAGACAGTTCTCTCTCTAACAGGAGAATCAAGAGAGCACTCCCACAGGGGCCAAAAGCCTCCTCCATGTATTGTTTCTTTTGTCTGAATTCAATTTTTTATTTTGAGATAATTGCAGATTGACATGCAGCCGCAAGAAATAATAGACTGATCCCATGTAGCTCTACCTAGTTCTCCCAAAGGTAATATCTTACACAACTATAATGCAGTGTCACAAGAAAGCTGTTGACATTGACACCCTCAAGATGCAGAATATTCCTTCACCATAAGGATCCCTCTTATAAGCTTCCTCACTTCCCTCCCACTCTGAACTCTTGCCTAAACCCTGGAAACTACACATTGTTTTCCATTTCTATATTTTGGTCATTTCAAGAACGTTATATAAATGGTGCCATGAAGTATGTGACCTTTTAAAATTGGCTTGATAAATTTAGCATTAATTCCATCTAGGTTTATTTAAGTTGTTGACTGTATCAACAGTTCATTATTTTATTGAGTAGTATTCTACAATATACATGTGCCACAGTGTGTTTAATTATCACCTGCCAAAGAACAACCAGAGAACAACTAGGTTGTTTTTAATTTTTGGTTAGTCTGACTATAGCTGCTATGAACATTTAAGTAGAGGTTTCTATGTGAATATTCTTTTTATTTTTCAGGGGTTAATATGCAAGAGTGCAAGTACTGTGTCATATGATATTTGCATGGATAGGTTTTTTTAAAGAAATTGGCAAACTGTTTTCCAGAGTGGTTGTACCAAATATATTTCCACCAGCCATGTTTCAGAGGTCCAGTTTCTCTGCATGCCTGTCAGAATTTGGTGTTGTCACTACTTCCTTTTTTCTTTTTTTTTAACTTTAGCCATTATGATAGCTATATATTGATATCAATTGTGGTTTTTATTTGCATTCCCCTAATGATAATAATGTTCAACATCTTTTCATGTGCTTATTTGCTCTCTCTATATTCAGTTTGGGGAAATGTCTCTCAATGTGTTTGGTCCATATTTTTAATGGGATCGTTTTAACTGTTGAGTTTTGAGACTGTGTTATATATTCTAAATACTTATTCTTCATCAGATATGTGGTTTGCAAATATTTTCCCCCAGTCTTTACTTTGTTTTTTCATTCTTTTAACAAGCTCATTCTCAGACAAGCATTTTAAATTTTGATAAAGTAGACTTCATCAACATTTCCCTTTATGTATTGAGTCTGGTGTCAAGTTTAAGAACACTTTGTTGAATGCTAGATCCCAGAAATTTTCTCTTGTATTTCTTTCTTAAAAGTTTTATAGCTTTATGTTTCCAGCCGATAATTCATTTTGAGTTGATTTTTATATAAGGTGTGAGGTTTATGTGGAGGTTCAGTTGGGTTTTTTGTTTGTTTGATTGTTTTTCCTTATGAATATCTGACTGCTCCAGGACCATTTGTTGAAACTTGTATCCTGCATGCATTGAATTGCTTTTGTGCCTTTGTCAAAAATCATGTGGGCAAATTGGTGTGAATCTATTTAAAGAATTTCTATTCTGTCCAACTGATTTGTGTCTCTCTCGCTGCCAAATTGTCTTAATTACTGTAGTTCTATAATAAGCTTAATATTCAGCAAAGTAATTCTTCCCACTTTATTATTTTTCAACATTGTTTTAACTATTCTAGGATCTGTCATGCACCTTTTACAATAAGCTTATCTACAAAAGATCTTGCTAAGATTTTTATAGGAATGACTATCAATTTCAGGAGAATTAACATCTTTACTATGTGAGACTTCCAGTACATGAACACCATATGTCTCTCCAATTATTTAAGATGTTTTTTATTTCTTTTGTCAGCATTTTTAAATTTTCAGTATGTACAGATTATGTTTTTTAAAGTTTACATCTAATCACGTCTTTTCCTCTGGAGTAATTATAAATACTATTGCATTTTTAATTTTTGTTTCCCTGTTCATTTTCAGTATATAAAAATGTGACTGGTGCGTGCGTGTGTGTGTGTGTGTGTTGTTAATCTTGTACTCTACAACCTTGCTGAAATAATTTATTACCTCTAGGATCCACATATTGTCTTTATATATATTATGGTTCAACTGCAATAGCACTAGCTGAGAAAACATGTATAACAATTGAAACCAGGTGTTATTTCAGTTCAAAAGAAAAATAATGTGTATGTGTGTGTGTTTGTGTGTGTGTATAATCTTTAAAATTATTTGAAGTCAGCTGGGTGCGGTGGCTCACGCCTGTAATCCCAGCACTTTGGTAGGCCGAGGCGGGCAGATCACGATGTCAGGAGATCGAGACCATCCTGGCTAACATGGTGAAACCCCGTCTCTACTAAAAAAATACAAAAAAAAAAAAAATTAGCCAGGCGTGGTGGTGGATGCCTGTAGTCCCAGCTACTCGGGAGGCTGAGGCAGGAGATGGTGTGAACCCAGGAGGCGGAGGTTGCAGTGAGCCGAGATCGCGCCACTGCACTCTAGCCTGGGTGACAGAGAGAGACTCCATCTCAAAAAAAAAAAAAATCATTTGAAGTCATTGAGCACTGCTAATTCTAGTTTATCCACCAAGATTTACAGCTATAAAATATATACAAGTAACTGTGCAATCATTAGGGAATCCATACCAAAATTAATACACTTTTCAGCTTTATTTAGGGTTCAGAGAACCAACTGAACACAATGTGTTGTCTTCAAGAAAATCACGTTAGTTCATTGTTTCAGTGTTAATTCGCAGTATAAATAGATATCAAATATATAATGTGGACAATACTAGAAAGTCATTCATGATTACTAAAACATACAAAATGTGAAAACTTCATGTTTATAATGCAGTGAGAGCACTGAACAAATAAACTGTTATTGCTGAAATTTTAACATAAGTTTGACAGCAAAAATCATAATTAGACAAAGTAATTGTAACAGTGAGGCTTCAGGCTGACCAATAACGACTTATGAGAACAGCCAAAGCATACTACACCTAAGTACTCTTCTCTTAAGGATGCTGATTGCAACTCCAAAGCCCTTCCCAAGGATGACGGTGCAGCAGGAATGCAGGTGTCACTGCCAGCAACAGTGAGGAAGGGGGAGTTTGTAGTTAGAGAGATTAAAGCCTAGGTGATAATTGAGGCAAATCCATTTTGAGTGATCATTTATTCAACAGATGCCATACACTTACTTGAAAATGTCAAAATATAGTCAAAATTCGGAAGACATAAATAGAACCTTCTCAGAAAACAGGGCCATGGGGAATTGCCTGATGCTTGCTGTCCTAACAATGCTTAGAGGCAGACACCAAGTGGAGCAGTGGTTATTAAAGCCATTATTTCTTCTGCAATTACCAAATGAACTTGCTATTTTGCAAATGTATATGTATACATTAACTGGGGAATCATTATTTTAAGAACTCTTGTTAAAAATGTTATATTGAGGAAAAATGGCTTTCATTTGGCATTCCCACATATGTAGAAAAGATGAAAATATGTCTATAAAGGTATATATTATACAAAACTTCGTGACAAAAAAATTGAAAGGCTGGAGGAAATGAATATTATTTTCATACATAACAAATTCTCAGTAAATTAAATCTTTTATCTCATCTCAAGAAAACAAATGTGAATGCAAGAGAGCAAGAGACAAGTTATTATAAGGATAAACTTCAATCTAATCTACTATTATTTCTTTCTTTAATAAGTCTATCGCAGATATTAGAACTTGAATTCTTGTTTATATACTGAGTATTCTAACCATGGTGCAATTACTTTGCTCTTTTCCTAAATGGATCACAAGATAACTAGTAAGTCGTTGGCCCTTTCTGATGTCTCATTGCAGCTGAAGGAGGGAAGGGATTTTGCCTGAGGAGGGGGAGAAAAGGGGGACAGAGAGACAGGTACTACTCACCTCATTCCCTGATTCTTTGTCCTGTTACCTTTGTCTCTAGAGCTGATGGCGTGAAGGGTGGAATCAGAAAGCGAAGTCAAAGACAAAGGTTTAGAAACTAAAGCAAAGAGTTAGAGAAAAAGTCAATGTCCTACCCTCCCTGGGACCTTATACCACAGAAAAGCCAAGAAGTACAGGGAGCAGCATGGACTTAGAAGAGAACAGTGCTCCTGGAAAGATGCCATCAAGGCCATCAAGGATGGAAGTGGCAGCACTTCTACTAAAGATACAGGTGCTTACAAATCATTGTCCAAGGTGGGAAGAGGTGCCCAAGTCCAGCAGTCATTACAGCATGTCTATTAATGCTAAAGTGACCAAACGTGGATTTATAGGTTGACCAGTTCTGATACGTAGGAATGTGACAAATTACTCATGAGCCATCTCACAATCGTGTGTTTCACAACACAGTGTGTAGGCAGATAAGTCAGCATGCTCCGATGTGCCAGTCATCAGAAGGAATGTCAAACCCCTCAACAATAGATGGTCTGGGTGCTGCTGCAAACCATTGAGTCAGTGTCATTGCATTTGTGACAGCATCATTCCACTGGATCGTGAGTTCTAGAGGATTTCTTTTGTTCACTTTTTTATCCACCCTACTTGGAGCAGTATGTGGTATGTGGTAGGCATACCTTGCCTACTTGCCTGGCATGTGGTAGGCACTCAATAAATGTTTGTTGACTGAGTGAACACATCCCACACGGCACAGCATCCTGGCCCATGTTCAGGCTGCCTCCTCCTTGCTGCCCGGCTCCTACTGCCTGAGCCTCAGTGAAAGCACTTCCAGCCCTCTACAGCCCAGGAAAAACAATGTCTTTTCCATACACACCTCTGAGCTTTGCGCCCTTCCCATTTACTAACCGAATAATACCGAGTAAATTACTTAACCTCTCTAATCCTCAGTTTCTTCAGTAATAAAATAAGAATTATAATAGCCACTCAGGAGAGTTGTGAATATTAAATAAATTAATGTAAGTGAAAAGGGTAGCATACAACAGCCTCTCAATAAACAGTAAAATTATT
Source organism: Homo sapiens (assembly GCF_000001405.40). NCBI lineage: Eukaryota > Metazoa > Chordata > Mammalia > Primates > Hominidae > Homo > Homo sapiens. Next base: position 82,288,205 of record NC_000010.11, on the reverse strand, counting down.
TTCCCTATTCAGTAAATCTATAGATAATTTATTTGAATGGAATTGGGCTCCACAATTCAGATAGTAAGAGAAATTCACATTCATCAAAAAAAGATCTGCCTTTCAATTCTCCTGGTAATCATAAAGGAATAAATGGGACCCCATCGGGGCTCCCCTTATAATCACATATCTGTAGTACTGCATCCACAGAAATTTACTAAAATGACTTGAGTACTGGCCTTGATTTGGGGGTGAATTAAATATAGCCAGGTCAACTTTGTTGACACAGAATTTACTCCCGATAATCATGATCAACAAGGGACCACTGGATGGCATGCTGTGAGCAACCTGAGGGAGGAACCATGTCTTCTGGTTTCTTGAGAATTTGGTCCCAACCTATGTTGGACCAATGGTCACCATATAGGTCGGGACCAAAGTCTCAAGAAAACAGAATCCCAGTGGTCCCTCCAGCTGTGGCCACTCCTTCACCAGCTTCAGTTTTTAATCTGTGCCAGCCTGAACCCAGAACACAGCTTGAATTTGAGTCTACCAAAAATAATTCTCTTATAAGAAAGATCATGAACAATAAAAACTAAAGATATTTTAGAAATCTCAGAGAAGCATTATCTACCCTCTTCCAAGATGCTGCCCACCCTCACCCCACTCCCTGACCCATACTCCTACCAAAGACCTCCTCTTCTTTGACCCTCCCTGCTTGTTCATGCTCACCCTGAGTGTTAGGCCATTCTTGCATTGCTATAAAGAAATATCTGAGACTGGGTAATTTACAAAGAAAAGAGGTTTAATTGGCTCACAGTTCTGCAGGCTGTATAGGAAGCATGGTACTGGCATCAGCCCGGCTTCTGGGGAGGCCTCAGGGAGCTTTTACCCATGGCAGAAAACAAACAGGAAGCAGGCAAGTCACAGGCGAAAACAGGCACAAGAGCACTTGTGGGGCAGGGGCCACACTTTTAAACATCCAGATCCCATGAGAACTTACTCAGTATCACCGGGACAGAACCAAGCCATGAGGGACCTGCCCCATGACCCAAACACCCCTCACCAGGCCCCACCTCCAATACTGGGAATTACAATTCAACATGAGATTTGATGGGGACACATATCAAACTCTATCAGCCAGCTATTATCCTCCTTCCTCTTCTCAGTGACATTGCAGTTCCTACTGCCCAGTTCTGTTGCTATAACAGTACTTTAATTAACTCTTCTCACTTGCTCCCTAGGTGCCACACCCTGAGTCCCAGATCAGGATTTCCTTAATGCAGTTCTTTCAAAGTATTCTTCAACAAAGATTGTGTCTTCCTATAAGAAATGGTTATATCTAACTGGGCACGGTGGCTCACGCCTGTAATCCCAGCACTTTGGAAGGCCGAGGTGGGCAGATCACGAGGTCAGGAGTTCGAAACCAGCCTGGCCAATATGGTGAAACCCCATCTCTACTAAAAATACAAAAGTGAGCCGGGCATGGTGGCACATTCCTGTAGTCCCAGCTACTTGGGAGGCTGAGGCAGAAGAATCGCTTGAACCTGGGAAGCAGAGGTTGCAGTGAGCCGAGATCATGCCACTGCACTCCAGTCTGGGTGACAGAGCGAGACTCCATCTCAAAATAAGTAAATAAGTAAATAAAAATAAATAAATGCTTATATCTGAGGATAAAAGAATTAAATTGTCTGCACATTGTTACCCATGTTAGGAATATGAGATATAAAGACAAAAAATATAAATGTTCAAACTTCGAATTATCTGTGTGAATTTTCCTCTGCCCTTTGCATTCAATGATAAAAGCTGGAGTCAAAAGACTCCCACCTTAAACACTCACACCTACATATATCCACACACAAACACATATACACATACACATTATGTGTCAACATACACACACACCACCATCCCATCATGAAATGTTAAATGTAACTAATAATCTATAGTTGCTACTTTTTCACTATTTTCCTTTAAAACTTACCCCAAACTCAGGTCCCTCAGGATAAAATTCCTTTGCCAAATCATTTTGAAACCAAAAGCTTATGAGTTTTTAGCACAATTTCTTAGACTCTTACCCTTCCTACCTGCGCTCCTCACCCCCATTGGGAATATAAAGGACATAAAGGTATAAAAAACTGAACACACAGGTGGATTTAGTTCTTCTGTTTGTAGAATCAACACATAACAGACACCCTCTACTCTGCATAGCCATTCTATGTTGAAAATCAGAATGTCTATCACCAAAGAATCAACAGTTATTTGTACAATTCTTGGGAACCTCAAGGATATTCTTAATATTCTTCTAACAAGAGCAGTATGCCCCTTCCATGTAAATAAACTTGGGAATTTGAAGGAATAAAGAAGCTCTATTCTGAGGTAGGGCAGCTCTGACTTGTGGTTGGAAAGCTAAATAAAAAGAAGGTGAGTGCTTTAGCAGGAAGTCATAGGAGTTCAGAATTTGGAGGCAAACATACTAAGTGCTTTGAACAGAAAGCATGCTCTTGAGAAGAAAGCAGCCAGTGGCTTCAACTGTTTCCCTCCTTTCTTCCCTTCTTTCTTCCCTCTGGCCACCAGCCTTGGCGTGTGTTCTGAGCCAGGAACTGTACTTTCATGTGACAAGAAAGTACTGATAAACTCTGCTCTGGACATTCCTATTAAATAATACCTATCCCTTCCATCTCGGGATAATGCTGTCTAATGGATTATAACATTCATCAGTTTATTAATTAGACTATTATATCCTGGGGGAATTGGTTATTTTTTAAAAAGAAGACTTAAAACATTATTTTGAAAAACTAGCTGCACTTTCCTATCATAAGTTTGGTTAATGGCTGGTGCAATAAACAGACCATATGAACAAGAAGTGGGATTGATCCAGGAATGAAAATGCCCCGATTCCTCTTTATCTGCTGAAGTCAGAAGAGCCATGTTGTCTTTTAAGAACTTGGTAAACCGAGTCTCCACCCCCTGACCCAGGTGCTCTTTTAGTAACTGTGTGAATATAAGCTTCTGTCTTCCTCCAAAATTAGCATCTACAGCATGAATGAAAGCCTGAAACATCTCAGAAGGCAGTTATGTTTTTTTGCTCGGGGCTAAACATTTGCTATTCAAGGCCTAGTGGAAGGAGACAACTGCCCTAACTCCTTTTCTGAACAGAAAGATGGCATCAGCCAAACAAATAAAAGTTAGAAACAGGAGTTTAACCACAATCTGTTTTCCAAGATAAATATGGCCTCATGGGATAATTCAGATACAGCTAAAATATTAATTTAAAGCCAAATGGATTTTAAACGTAATGTTTTTCTGTCTACTAGCAAGCGCCAATTAGGAAAGAAAAATGCATACAGTATTGGAATGGGAAACAATAACTTCCTAGGATGTAAATGGAAAGAAAAAGATCCAGTACTGAGTGAGGTTCACATGAAACACATGTGATGCGCTTACAAAACATCCTAAGGTGAAGTGATGAGAATAATTTTAAAAAGAAAAAAAGACACTCAAGAAACCTGTTTTTCAATGCCATTTGTATTAGGTGTGCTAAAATTAAATTGGCATATTGAAAAGAGATTTTTTTAAATGAGAGAAGAGAAATACAAACAAAAATACAGAAAGTTATTAAAGAAATCATTAAAGAAACAGAAATTGTTTTGGTGGAAAAGTTGACCTTTCCAAATGAATAAATTAAATGGAAAATGGATTTATCTGAATGCCTAGTATGATAAACACTGTTTCTTGTTAATAAACTCCTCACCCTGCAGGAAAAATAGACAGATAGTCCAGTTTAACCCATGGGGATGACATCAGTGCTTTCCATTCCTGTTCTTGTATCTGTGTGTAACAAGCATCTCTATAGCTTTTGATATAGACCCATAACTGCTATGAATTTAAATCTATGACAGCCCATGTTTCTGGTTGATTAAACTAAGATGTTTATGGCGTCTGCGGTATGAAATCAAAGTGGGAACAATTAAACTCTCCATCTCTGTAGCAAAGGGCTTGCTGGCATTAGCATCTGACCATTCATCACTTGCCATGTACCTTTTCACTGTCATCTCTGCAGCTCCCTGATACGCAGATATTGGCTCCTGTTCTGAAGTGGGTACATTTGTCACTAACATCAGGTGGCATACAATGGGTGCCAGTTAATTCAAAGTTCTGAGCTTGCAGTCTGTATTGGAACAACTCATTATAAAAGTATATCCTGGAAATCGCAATGCTCGCAATGCTCTCTCTAACTTTCTCTCTTTTCATTTTCCTCCTTAGCAAACTACGAGCAAACCAGAAGATGCTGAAATGTCAAATCATTATCAAAGCTTCATTTATGCACTCATTCAAGAAACCTTTCCTGAAATGTGGCATGTTCTGGGTTGTCAAAAATTCAAAGATAAAACAACAATAGGCTCAGGCCTGAGAGATCTTTCAATTTTGTGAATTGGGACTCGAGATGCAGAAATGATGCCCTGTGATAAATGGTAGAACACGGAGACACAACAGGCTACTTCCATGACCCAGTATGAGGCTGGACACCAGGCTCCTTCCAGATACACAGCATGAGAAAATCATAAGCATCAGTATATTTAGTATAATTATCATGGGTTGTATGGTGCCTTCATTATTGAAAACCTGTTGATAAGTGTGTGCATGTTTTCTTATAGAATGTTGGATACTATAGGAACCGAGCTAGAGATTTCCTACCCTACACCTTTGCTCCTAACTGGCTATATATAGGTTGAACTATATTTGACAAAATAATAAATCAAGGTTGCATAGGAAAACTTACATTGCTGGGTTTTAATAGCTATTTTCCAGTGAAAACTTGACTCTGTGTACTGCCAGAGCATCATATGTGAATATGATCACTAGTTTTCTTTAAAAATGTAGCCTGAATTCAAGCTGCTCAATTATAGTTAGGCAAACAAATATGAGAAGCCACGGATGTACTCCTACATGGCATTGTGAAACAAATTCACCAGAGGCCAACACACAACCAACTTCTGAAGTGATTTGATTCCACTTCAGAACTAAGCACACAAAGGATCCAATCTTCACCCCTGGGATCTCACTTTCTTCCTCTTTGTTTCCTTAGGAGTGTTTCCCAAGTCTTGGTGGGGAGACTTGCACTAGATTAAGACCGAGAAGACAGGAGAACTCGTGTTGTAGAGTCTGTGTTAAGTGCCATGAGCTCTGCCAGATGATCAGCCTCACAGAGCAGATCGCATTAGTGAACGTTTGGAAACCAAAGAGATTGGGATGAGTCATCAGCCCAAGGCAACACTGTTAGTAAACACCGGGGCCAGGATCGGACCCCAGTGACCAAGCTCTCTCTCCTCTGCAGGTGTTTCTTGCAGAAGTCACCTGGGAGGTGTTTTAAAATCTCAGATCCCTCATCCTACCCTTCGAATTAAAAATTTTGTGGAGGTGCTAGTGGAAAAGCATCCCACAGGCATGGACACAGCTGCCTCACTGACTGCGACTCAGGGGACCACCATGTCCCATCTTGCTCCCTCGTTCCTAACAGTGAGGATGCATACATACCTTTGTCGCTAATTTGCATTAACTCATTTAATCATCACAACAACCTTGTGAAACACATACTTATATTTTCTCCACTTTTTACATGAGGAAACCGAGGCTAGAAGCATAAATCAACTTGGCTGGTCACATGGCTGGTTAGTAGCTGGACTGGAATTCAAGCACAGGCATTCTGGTCCTGAGCCCTCCTTTTAACTGCTGTGTTACACAACTTTCAGTCCTGCTGCCCTGAGTCCTACGCAGAGCCCTGGCTTCCAGGTGACCTACTACTGATGGGTCTACACTAGCATAAAGGAAGTGACTTTTCAAGACACAGATCCACAACTCTCACTGGCTCCCAATCACATCAGTGCAGGTGAATTGGTGGCCCAGAGGTCAGCTAAACCCTCCAGATTACAAAATAATAAATAAATAAATAAATAAATAAATAAATAAATAAATAAATGTAATGTTTTCAAAATTAAAATGTTTCTTTAAAACAATCTAGTTATCTGCCTCGTATGTGTCCACTTCTAGAAAAAATGGCTAGAACAACCTCCTCTAGATCAGTTTCATTAGACTGGGCAAGCAGCCTTCAGCTGGACACAGCCCCCACTATCCTGCTCCTGATTTACATTTCTGCTTGACTTCTGTAGATATATGAGTTTGAGACCCACAGCCATATAAGCACAGGCTTGGAATACATAGTATTAGGATTAGGTGAAATAAAACAAAGGATGTCCACCTTGCTTGTTACCAAAAGGCTACATATAAAATACAGAAGAAATCCAACAAATAGCCATGTCTACTGTCAATCCTTTCTCTATGAATATATTCAATGAATAATGTAAAAATGAATTAAAAACTGATACAGACAAAAACAAACAAACAAACAAAACCTGACATGGGGCAAGGGAAATACAAAGTCCAGAGAATATGAGATGATAGCTGCCAGGGCACACTCTCTCCATCTTCCTCTGCCCTCCCTTGATTCTCATATCTGGCCATATCAGGGAAAGCACCTCTGGCTCCATCTAGACTTTCTTGGTGTAAAATGGAATTTAGATTCACTGTCAGGACTCAATTACAGGAGCCACTGGAGTGTCCCTGTCCTCCTCATGCAAGCTGCATGTTGAATTACGTTGAGTCTTATTAAAAGAGTCCCTGGAGTCAGTTCCACCCCATCCCCACATTCCTCTCCATCCTCACCAACCACCAACCACAGCAGCTTAACTGTGCAACAGATTTCTTCTTCTGTTGTTTCCTCCGGGCCAATACATCTTATCTAGTACCCCAGGTCTTTGCTGAAGAGTAATACCTCCTCTCCTAATCACAAGAGGATATCCTGTTGTTCTAGTAAGTTCCTATCCATCTCTTTACTAGGGATAAATTCTGTTTCCTTCTGTATGCCATTCAGCAATCATGCTATCTTTCTTACCATCACCATCTGGACCCATGACTGGACATCAGAAGACCATACCTCATCCCAGACGGAAATTAGCTCAGGAACCTACACTACGGCAATGCAAGTATTTAAAAGAAAATAAGCCATATGATCTATTCAAAACTTGGTAAAAATTGCAGCATGTCACTCCAAGTCTTCCAGTCCAGAAAAGTACCAATGTAATCCCAGGGTTATTTCCATAGTTCAGTATCTCAGAAAATTTCTGTACAAGGGCCATTTTGCACAAAAGATAGAACAAAAAATAAGATCTATTTAATCAGGCTACAATTATGAGATAACACCAGTAATTTTTAATATTTCTGGGACCAAACATCCCACATCCCCCCGCAGAAAGCAGGCATGGGTCTGCTCTGGGTGGCCATGCTGGCACAGGACAGGATGGATTGCCATTGGAGAGTTACTAAAGCTTCAACTTCCCTTTAGTTAATTGCCCATGCTTCATGCAAAGGTGCAATTAGAGTCCCCCTTGCTAATACAGAGATAAGTAATTGCCTTATTGAGAGCCCTACTGGGAGCAGAGGATATGCAGGATGAGTGAGTAGAGAAGTTACGTTATTTTGTGTAGTCTAAATGGAGATGACAGACCTTGCGGAGAAAAGGTCAAGGAGAGTGTCCAAAGTGATACCTCCAAATGCCTACAATGACCATCAAAAACATAGGGGCTATGGTCAGGTGACTAAAACTTTCTGGAGAGTGTGTTTGGTCATCTTCAGTCATGTTCTAAAGTATTTAAGCTTTGCACGAGCTATAAAAGGAGTCATCTTTTGATATTTGACAGTGATTACTGTAGGGTATAATGAATAAGCATTTAGGACAAAGTCTTCCAAAAGGGGATTTTCCAAGGTCAAGACATTTATCATTTTTCCAAGGTCCATCACATTTGTCAAAAGGCTCTGCCAGTTGGCAGCACACCAAAAAAAAAATTGTCACTTGATATGCTGAGCCTAAGGGAACCCACCTGTTTTAAGTGATCTATATCTTGTGCCCTATTTAATATCACTCTATAATGTTAGTGTTATACATGGCTCCACCTTCATTAAATATACATTCAGAAAATAAAGATTTTTTTCAGCTTTTCTCTTTGATTGGATAGGGGGAAGAGAGGTTCTTAGATGTCTGACCCCTACTATCCCACTTCCCTTACTTTCATACACCCTGTTTTAATTAGGTAACTGCCTCAACTGTTAATCAGAACTGATCCCCCTGCCCACTGGAAACTCCTGATAGAACAGCCACTAAATCAGCCTGGAGACTTCTCTCCTTCAAATTAAGTTATTCCAATCCCATTGGTCTCTCATTTATTTTAAAAAGTAGATTCAATAGCTAAGTATTTGTTCACTATATTTTAAGAACTCTTCCAGAGAAAGGCCATTACTTATTGCAGTAAGCTGAGGATAGAAGCGATTTTACTGACTTTCAGAATAACTAATTTCGATTGATCCTTAAAGTTAAGCTGTAAAACATGTTGCCAAGGTTAATTATAATTCATCAATCACATCAACACATGGCATTCACTGATGGAGACAGCCTCACATATTTGTTTGAGGTATGCAAACAACTTCATGAGAAATCAGTTTTAATAATCTTTCACTCCGTGTTCGTTGTCAGAAAAATGTGATTTAAGGAAAATCATTTACACATCCCTAAGTGCATTAATGCAAAACAACTTTACTTTTTAAATTCTTTATAAAGAAAATCAACTCAGCCAACAGAAATCAGTTGACAAGTATAAAAGGTTTTCAGTCAGTTTAATCTTCATGAAGTGTTTATTGATGTTATGTGAAGCCAAAACATTATTTAGATAAATGCCTTTATTGTCTATGTGGATTTTGGAAAAACAATCTGATGGGCTTTTTATGGTTTCTTTTTAGGTAAACTTTAAAAAAGGATTGCAAACAAGTCAGCAGTAGTGCCAGTTTGATGGTTCTTTTCAGCAGGTGCTGACATTGATGAAAAACCTGGAGAGCTGGAATCAAAATGACACTCATCTTCCAAGGCCAGGGGATACTTCCCTCAGCACAGTTTGAGTCAAATGGCCAGCATGGGCGCTGCTGCCTAGAAGGCTTTATTTGGTAATGACATCTCCAAAAATAAATCCATTTCTTCCTGTGAAATGACTATTTATGAGACCTTCTCTACTGGGCATTGAGTTAGGTTCTGTCAGATCAGCAATAAGCAAAGTAGCTATGACTCCTGTATCCACACAACTCACAGTCCCATGAGGAAGCAAACGTTGAAGAAATGACTGTAATAACATGTGCTGTGCAATATCGTAAAAGAAGCACATAGGACAATACTGTGTGAGGAAACCGAAGCAGACACCTAACTCACCTGGGCGATAAGCCTGGAAGCAACTTCCAGTTCAGACCTAAAGCAAATACAGAAGTTGTCAAGGCGAAGAGGAAATAAGAGAGCTCCGTGAGGAGGTGGCCACGACTTCTAATACTTTTTAGCTATGAGACCCTCAGTCAAATTTCCAGGCCATGTATAGAATACAGAGCCATGAAAACAGTCAAGGATATAGGACTGTCAAAAGAGAAAAGGACCAGAACAAAGAACAAAACACCATTCTCTTCCAGTCACTGAGAAACCTGTTTATTATTTCAGACAGCTCTAGTTTCAGTTCTCAAATCATTGTTAAACAAACCAGCAAAAACCTGCCCACTCACTCAGCTTTTTTCAATTCTGTTTGCACGAACCTCGACGAGGAAAGCCAATTGCTCTTATTGACAGAAATCATCCTGCCAGAGAACATTTTCAACAGAAGAGAGGAAACAGGGAAGACAGTCTGAGAGAGTAATCAGGAATCAGCTACCAGGTATCACTAATAACCCCAAAATAACCTTCCCCTATAGCTATAGGAGCCCTAACATTCCATTCAGCACCACTCACTAAAGAAGCAAAGAATTCCTCAGCAAGATGTGTAGGTCTTCAAGAAGTCAGAAGCACATCTGCACGCACCTTCTCCTGGTCTTAGCTTGTGTGATTTTATAGTGTCATGCAGTCAAATGAAAGAAACCAAGAACGCTTTAAAAAAAAATATGTAGTCCATCACTTGTAACTGTTCATTTTCTTGGAGGTTTAGCTAATTTTAGTGTAAATCGTGATTTCAAAAGATGGGCAAGTTTTGGTCCATCCCCAAAACGTTCATCAATTTTTGTCCTATTCATCTCTGCTTACATATGTGTGGTAAGGGAATTCCACCTCCTCCTTCTTTGGCCTCAAAGATGTGTAGTGTGTGGTGATATTTGAAGTTACTGAAGATGAGAAGTATTATGGCAAGAAATCACATTTCATAACATCAAGTCTATCATCTTATTGACTCCTCCAAAGCTCTCCAAAGGCTGAGGAGGGTAGACCAATCCATTTTTCTCACTGCTTCCCTCAGAGGGATACTATGCCACTTCCTGGAATTCTGGTGAAGAAAAAAATGTGGATCTTGTTACTCACTGTGGCTGGAATCCAGCTAAAGCATAAACATTGCACATTTAAACATTATTTGAGCAACTTTAGACAGAATACTGAGAGCTTCCTGCAAGGTCATAACAATATTAAGGCCATGAGGTAAGCAGACCAGCACGGAGCAATAGGATACAATATTCTCCAACAAGGGCTAGTGACCTAGATGGAGGATGATAGGAAAGGAATGAGGCATGAATAGAGCCATGAAAAGGAGGTTACATTAGCCACTACTAAATCTGGAATTTTACCATATTCCCTTATTGAGAAAGATATGATTATTATTATCTATCCCCCAAGTAGAGATTCTTAATGATCATTTGCAAATGACATAATACATATGTCAATGCCTGAATTATCTATAAGTAAAATAAGCATGGTTTTAAACAACCTTATAGTCTTTATTGTTTTCCAACTTAGAAGTCCTACTCTGGAAGAGAATTATCTGAACTGGGTGGCCTTATCCTACACTTACAATCATATCAGCAAGCTCTGTTCCAGTGAAAACCATCAACAGAAATATTTGCTAAACTAATGATTATTTAAGATTAAAGATTTTTCCATTTATTTTATGATCCAAAACGTACTTAGAGGCCTTTCTGGGTTAAAGGCTTCAAAAGACATAAAAATAATAAATATTATTGCAATGAAAATGTCTAGTAATGACCAATTTGAAAGAAGCAGCCTGACATGAAAGAAAGTAAAAAACAAATATCTGCTATGGAGCATCTGAAGTTTAAACCATCTCAGTTGTATGGTAACATCGTCTTCAATAATGAGGGAGAAAAATATTTTATTAAAAACCACATTTTTTTGTAATTCTAAAAGTTTATAAGACACTTCAGGAAATTAAAACAGTTTAAAATTTAACCTAATGCTAAGGAAGGAAATGTACTATCTTTTTTAACTGCTACATTTTAAGGTTTGATAAGTTTTCTGTGCTATACACACACGAAGTTCAATTAAAAAGTATTTTGAGTGTGTATTACATGGTAAGCATTGCAAATATAAAGATCAGTATGTCATTTTTTGTCCTGAATGGTCCCACATAAGACCACATAAGAAGAATTACACATTTGTCCACCAAACCAACTCATAAAATTATGTTCTACAAGTTATATATTGTTATCTATGCAGTTAGAATAAAACTATGGTGCTTATTTCTATTTAAAGATGAGCTCCTTTGACCTCTTTACTGCAAAAATTTAAAACATTGGTTGCATTATTTTATTTAATTCTGTGTTTCATTTCTTTGTGACAATGCAAAGAAGAATCAGGTTAACCTGGTCTGTTGAGTTCCTTTACATCTTCCTGGAGAAAGGGATTTATAAACATGTCAGCCAATTATACAATAACTTATGAAAACACAAAAATTCCTTTTCCTTCAGTTTTTACAAATCACTTTTCATGAACTATATTTCTAATTGAGAATAAGAAGTACATTTTAGAGCCAGTTTATTCAAATTTTGTAGAATGAGATTTCATTTAAACTAAATGCAAAATATATGAATATTTTAAAAGAGTGTGGCCATTCTTGAACAGGTATTTGTAGTGTATTTACTGTTTACATTACTACTTTGTGTTAATAGATTTATATAGGAATTCAGGACAATTACTCGTGTGTATCCATTATGTTCAAATAATATTTAGCCATGATATGTACTTTGGAAAATGAATTATTGATGAATAAAACGAACTTATTGTTGTCATTAAATGAATAGGTCGTAATCTTATTTAAAATTGTGTCCTATGCACAGTATGTATGAGTATGTTCAACTTTTGAAGGACTATTTTATCTCCTTCCTTCAGTTACTGACATTTGCAGAATATTTGCATATTAAAGCATTAATAATATCACATATTAAGTGATCATTTTCTTTGACAGGACATACATGATTCATAATATCATTGGAAGAATGTGTTATGTTTAGGTTTTCCTCCTAAACTTAAAGTAAAAGCACAGTTACATTCTGCACATTTTATATTCTAACTCTTAGAATTATTTTTTCTTCATATATAACAAACTTACTCCAATTATATCTTTAAGATTTTTGAAAGTTAATTCTTTAAAGTGGGCATACATCAAGAGCTTTGTAAATAAATATACTGACAAGAGTCAGTATTTCTACTGGCTCCAAACAATAGGGAAATCATTTGGAATTGGGAATTCCAAACAATTCCCTCTCCAACATCTGAAAACACACAGCTCCCAGGCTTTGGAAACCATAATTGCCATCATCACTCTGTGCTGAAAATCACATTAATCCAGCCCTGAGGATCCTTCACTGGCCTTTTGCTTTGAAATAAGTTAGACTCTTATTAACAAATAGAGTCTAATTTTTTAGGTCATGTAAGTGCCTTGACCCTTCTAGAAAATTCATATTCCAATATCAAAGAACTAAAATAAAGATCATATTGTTACTGTCCACCTACTGTAATTTCAGCCTAAGGAGATACTGTCCAAGGTAAACGTTTACAAAATTTCCTAACTCTATGCTCTTGGCAACTCAGGAAAGATTCTGGTAAGCAATAAATAAGTTGCTTCTAATTCAAGATGGTAGACTGAGCATCTGCATTACCTACACTAAACAACATTGATAATCTAAAGAATAGATGTACAAGTATACTTTTTAAATCATAGAAAAGTTTATATTCATTGTTAGGTTATTGGATTCAAAGCTGTATTGGAGCTTTAAAACCTTCCTTTCATTTTTTGAATTATTTTATTTTTCACCATATAGGAAACTACATATGACACTCTAGATGGAGGCAGAGAAAATATTCCACAAAAGGAAAAGGCTAGCAGTCCAAGAAAACTGAGTTCAGAGAGAGGAAGCAGAGTCTAGTCTAAGTGGAAGGCATGAAGTTTGGAATTGGGCAGCTCCCACCCTTTCTAGTTGGGTGCTTTGGGCAAGAGGTTTATTCTGTCTTGTCTGATCAAGTGAGGTAATGAATGGAAACTGCAGCATAGTTTTAATGGGACGATGAAATAACCCTATGAAATACCACTATAGTATGCAAAAACATAGGGACAACAAAATGAATCCACTTGAGAAATAATTTAAAATTTTAGTTTTTAATATTTTTACTAATTACCAGTTTGGACTTGGTTACAGTTCCCTAACAGCACCAAGGGCTTTAAAATAAAGTGTTCAATTAATTAGAAAGTGTTTCTAAATAAATGGTATGAATGAAATGTTTCTTAAATTTTGACTTGGTCTCTTTTTGTAACTTACACTTCTCATCATATTCATATTATTGTTCATAAAATAACCAAACACAATAGATTATAGCAATTTTCATTCATTTTTATTCAGAAATAAACTACTTACTGTGAAAATTTTAAGAAGAAAGCAGCAATAAAGGCTAATAATCATTCTAGATCTGACAACTAATTCTTCTTTTAATATGAGAATTCAGAATTAGAAGAAGGTTGCAGGTTTTTAGTTCACTCAATCTTCCAGCCAGTCTTGAATTTTCAGTGAAGTTTCTATGAGCATGGGAAGAAAACTTTGTAGACACTCTGCCACCATATTTTGCTATGCTAAAATTTTTTCACATTCATTTGCAGAAAATTTGTCAGTGTTCTCTTTTTATGATTCTTGAAGGGTTATTTTATATTAATTGCAACATCTAGAAATGATTTTTTTAATTTTAAAATAAAAGTGACATTTCTGAGAAATGTATTCTTTCTCCTCTGAAATCCACTCTGAAATCATAATCATCGTAGGAGGTGGAAAATGAGGCAGGCGCAACTGGATCCGTTGCAAGAACGTTTGCAATAATTTTAAAGCTTCCCTCTTCCAAATAGAAGCATAGAATTAAGTTATGTATTTGTAGGTGAATGATACTTGGGAGGAATGAGCAAAGAGTTTCAAGATTCGTCTGGCTCACAGTCATCGCCTACAAGCTTTGTTCTTTCTGGGGCTGGGGAAATGAAAGAATATCATCAAAGTTCTTTCAAAGAAGAAAAAAACAACTTGTGGCATTTTTTCTCTGACTAGGTTTTTTATTAACTGATTTTCTTCTACTTTTGGGTTAATTCTTATTTAAATGCTTTCCTTAATCACTATTATTCTTTCAAAGTTCTCCCTAGGAATTTATATGAAAAACAGTATTTTCGTAAAAGAAACCACATATTATCAACACATTAAGAAAATTTTTTAAAATGGATATTATATATACTGTATGTTAGAGACTTCAAAAGCTCACTCAAAATATTTTTGAAACATTTTCTTCAATTATTGCAATTTCAAATGGCCCATTAAAATTCTGTGGGTTATAATTAAATTCAATCATATCCATTTTAAATTTTAAAAAATGTTTTCAAAATCTTGAATCATATAAAAATAATGTAACTATTTAAGAAAACTTAAAAATAAATTAACAAGTCATTGTGAAGGAAAGCACAAAGTATGAATAAAACATCACCCTTGTACTTTTCTGGCACTAGATACACAGAACTGACACAGTTGTCGACTCTACAGAAGAGTCTTTAGAGCTTCAGCGAATGTGCTCAATGTGACTAAGCAGCCAATCAAAGCCTTGGGACAAATAATGTATACAGGTGAAGATCAGGAGGTCAACATAAAGGCATGCCAATTTAGAACAGTCAAGAGTAATGTACAGCTCTTGAAAAAATATGTAGATACAGCAAATATAATAAAAGAAGAGAAATAACACAAGAGTTGGAAACATCTATTTGAAATGGAAGGGAATGTCCAAGTCTATGAGTGAAGTTAAAAGACAACCCCAACTTGAAAGTGTGGGGGACAAGAGACGAAAAGACAATTGTTAAATTGTTAGAATATTCAACCAGATGATACATGCAGAGGCTCATGCTGCTCTCCCCAAGAACTGGAACGAATTAATAACCTTAAACAGGCCCACAGTTTTAAGGCCATAGCGAGCCTTCTAAAGGAAAGTGAAGTAATCCAAGGACAGCAGAGGCAATTTATCAAAATCTCTACGTTAATATCTTCTCAGGTCCATAAAAGACAGAAATACAAAGAGGACACAAGATAGCTTTGGGAAAGAGAAAGAAATAAATAATGTAGCAGATCAGGGCCACACTGAAAATTATTGTCAGAGAACAGGATGACATGAATATGTCATGGAATATATTAAAAACGAACTCAAAAGTTTTTGAATTCAGGAACAACAAAGTAGAAAGGCGTAAACCCTGTGCTTTTTCAATGGGAGAAAATTTGAATCTAGAAAACAAATCACAGGTGAGTATCCACTTCATCTACATAAATAGCCACCAAATTCTTTATAAGGTTAGATCTACAGGCATTCAGTGTTCATGTACACTTGGAAAATCAAATTTATTTTTCTTGCTACCATCTTTATGTTTCACTGGCTTCTCTTGCACCCAAGCAATTCCAAACTCCCTAGGTGACTTCCAGCACCCTCCAGGATCAGCGCAGCCAGCCCCTCCAGCACTGATTTTTAACACTCCTTTCCAAACTCCTGGTAGCTACCAACTGGCCCTTCTTTCAGTCCTTATGCCAGTTGGATCACTTGCTTTTCTCGCTGCTTAGAGGACTCAGAATTCACATTTTTTTCTTGCTTCATCCTTTATCATCATGCAGGTATCAATTCAAATGTGGCCAAAGCTCTCGCCACAATTCAAAAATGATTACCCAAACCCTACCATGGTCATCTCTACTCCATCATCTTATTTTCTTTAGAGAAAATGTCAACATCTAAAATTGCAGCATGGTTGTTTGTTTGCTCACTTGTTGAGTGTCTAAATTCTATCTCCAGAAGATAATCTCCAGTAGAATAGTAGGTTTATATGTTTTGTACACAGTTATGTCTCTGATATCTAGAATAGAACCTTGGCCCCATGAAACATCCAAAAATATTTGTTGAACGAATAAATTACAATATTTATGAACCCATGTGTTTCAAGGTATTTAATAACATCATCAGGAAAAGAACAAGATAAGCCAAAATATCTAAGGTATAAAGTGTGATAATCTAAGAGAGTAAACTTCCTTAGAAAGGTATGAATTTCTAAGTAATATTCATGCTGTTTCTCTTTTAAATTTGAATGCATTAAATATGACAGCAGCACCAAAACTCTACCTTCACAGCATCAACTCATGCTAGTTGGTGCAGGAAAACAGTAAACCAGCAGTATTGCTTACACAGTTCCAATCAATTAGAGTTAATTAGTTAGTAGTTGTAGTATTGTTTAGACACTTCATGACATTATGTGTGTATAACTAACGGTGAATATAGGAATATGGGATAAGAGGCAAAGAGTTTTAACACCTTTAAGGGGATTTTCTTGATTGTTATTCCATACAACATTCATAAGAACAACAACCAATTATTGAGTCAGATATTATACAAAGTGTTTTATATATGTTTTCCTTTAATTTTTGCAATCGCCCTGATAGGTAGCATCATGATTTCTGTTTTTAAGATAATAGTGTTGAAGCTCAAAAAAAGTTAACTACCTGCCCAATTACATAGCTCATAGGTGGCAGAGCTGGAATTTATCACTTTTCTACCTTGCACATGTAAAATCAGGAGTTCTCCATGATGGAAGTCCTCTATAAATAGCTATTCCCAAGAACCCTCTGATTTTCTTTATCCTTGTGGGAGAATATCCCCTTATTCTTTCTTCTGGTTCCCTATACCTCAAAACCCAAGACCTCACCCCTAAGCCTGTAGCCACCAATACAACCAATATATTTTCCCTGTTCCAAATATTGCTTTCTCGAACTAAGGTGGTAAAGGCTTATTTTCATTGCCTATTATGATTTTCTGGCTGGCAATATCATTCTCTGAGATAAGGTCTCACCCTCATCCTGGAATGAAGAAGGGAAAATTAGCTATCATAATCAAAATGAAACTCACATTGACAATTCAGGTTATGCCTACTGAGTTGTGAGATTTCCAAAATGCATTGGGCATCCACAGTATAAAATGTACTCCATGGCGTAAGAGACAATACTTGTTACAGATGCATCCATGCATTTAACCTGTGTCTACAGTAGATACTGCTCACTGGCCATGATATTATTTGTGATTGAACACAGGTAGATGTGGCCCCAGAATTCTTGTCATCTCTCTAAGCAGCTACCATCAATCAGTCAGCATTCTCATGAGGAATGAAACCATTTTGCTATACCTTCGGAAGGGCAAAGGAAAGTTGACCAGGCCTTGAAGAATGAATTAAGACTCTGCCTTGTAATAGTGAAGGGGAGTATATATCAAAAGAAATGAATATAATGTAAAAAATTACAGAAGCAGGAAAGCAAAGAGGTACATTTACAAAAACATAGATTCCATATCATGAATGCTATGAGAGGAAATGCATAGACAGCCCAGGTGCCCTCAGTACAAGGAAAGTCCCAAATACCCTATTAATATACTCAACATTCACTTTCTAAGCAAGGAAGGGACCTATTTGTAATGATTGCTTTAAAGTGATTAAGGTAGAACCTGACAACAGTATGAGGTCTGGGGAAGCAGGGATAGAGAGTGACAGTTCCAATCAGTTAAATGACCATGAGTAGAGTGAGGGGAATGACAATGTGATTACACACTTAATCCCATCCACAGCAATAATGAAAAGGAAATGGATGTATTCCAGAGTGCAGACTGTTAGGACATGAGAGCTGATTGGTTGTTGGGAGTGAGGACAAGGAAAGCAGAGAGAGTAAACGCTGTGCAATTATAGCTAACAGTTTTTGAGGGTCTGCCAAAAACTGTTGGAAGCACTTTGCTTATATACTCATGTCGTTTTTACAAGAAAATCTATGAGGTAGATACTTTAATCGTCCCCATTTTACAGAAGAGGAATCAGAGAGACTTCATGTAAGTTTGCCAAGATTCATACATGAAGCACATGGCTGAGTTAGGATTTAAGCCTAACTCAATCTGGCTCCAGACTTGTGCAGGAAATCCGTGTCTTTCAAAGTGTGGTCCTTGGACCAGCAGCATCAGCATTACCTGGGACCTTGTTAGAAATGAAATTGTCAGGATTCACCCCAGACCTTCTGAAGCAGAAACTTCTCAAGGGGGACCTAGCAATGTGTGCTATCATGACAGTGGTCTTGATCCCGCTGAAGTTTGAGAACCACTGCACAAAACTAGTAGACATAGTTTACAGCTGGTTCAATCTACTATCTAGTGCATAGATGATGAAGTTAGTAGACTACAGATAAAGAGTCAAAAATATATTTAGAGAGATGAAGAGCTTGTCTTCATTTCGGCTGACTCTGGGTTACCACAGGGCTTTCTAGATGGAGATGATCAGTGAGTACTGAGTGACCAATGGAAGGCCAGAGCTTGAGAGAGGTGGAGGCTGGAGATACAGATAAGCTGTATACCACATAGTGCATTAGCTGAAATCTTAGAAGAAGAGAAACTCTCCAAAGACTTTTCCAGGAAACATCCAACAGCAGAACATTATGACTGTTTCCACTTATGAGAAAGGAAAAGAAAGCATATGCTGAACTAGAGAGGGAGAGCCACTAACAAGAATTAACTATCACTGTGCAAGCTCAGCCTCCTCAAGGCCCTTAGACAACCACCTCCTATTAGAGGCTAAAGTGAAACTGAAAAATAAAGAAAGAAGTGAACTTCTAGAAAGAGTGGATAAAATAGTGACTAGTCTCAGAGAAAAATTAAGAAGGGATTCCTGAGCTGGTAGATTTATACATTGAATTTCTCAGAGAAAGTGGTATCAGAAAAATGTAGGAGGAAGACAAACTTTTTTAAAGGATTGCAGTGAAAGTGCATTGCAAAGGAGTCACGGTGAATACAGACAATGTTTCAGAGAATTTGACAGTGAAGGGAAACAATAAATAGCAGGGAGGTGAGGGCAGGGGAAAGGAAGATGAAATAGATCTGCAACAAGACTGCCCATAGTACTCTTGGGGCACCATTTACATGGAAAATAATGCAGTGTCACCCGTGGAAAGAGTATCAATCCTCTTCCTTAGAGATGGTCTTGATTATAGACTTACCATCTATCCCCCATTACCCCATCCCCCAGAGAAACACTGAAATCAATCCCTGGTTCTTGTAGTCTAGCTTTGCATGATGTCCTAGACAGGAAAGAAAACAAAACATAACTAAACCCACTCAGCTTTCCAGGATCATTAGGTCCATGTCTTAATACAGCAACACAATTTTACATTGGCCCAATGACACTTGGACCTGCTGTTTTCATAATACGGCCAGAATCCAGAGAAGGAATCTTGATAAAAAATATATAAGAAAGAGGATAGATTTAAAAATATTTTGCGATTTTCAAATGGTGGTATCTTGTAAGGGAAGGTGAATATTTCAGAATGGTGGGATGTGATGAAGACAGGGTTTTGAGAATTAAGTGGCATAGATTCTATCAGGGCAAGAAAAACTGTTTTTGATGCAGTATAAAAACAAAGAGGAAAGTTTCAGACCAGCCACACTGGGTTTGGGGTCCATCTGTTCCATTTGATACAAGCAATGACTTGAGCAAAATATTCAGTAACTTGAAGCCTCAGGTCTCACAGTGTGAAGCCTCAGTTTTCTCCTCTGAAAAAGGAAAATGATAATAGTACCCCTGTAAAATAAAAGCACTCTTATAGGCACTACTACAGAGATTCAATGAGGGCTCACTCCAGGAGGGAAACAGGTGTGGTTTCATTTCTACTTTCCACTTTCCATTTTGTGAACTCTAGAAGAACGTGTGGGAAGAATTTGTTCAAATTTGGTTCTAAGAGGAAGAGCTTAAAAAATACTCAGTGATATTCATGTAACAGTTTTAGCTATCATACTACATCTTTTCTCCAAAATTGCGTTTTATAAGTAGCACACTTTTTACCCTTTTCTCAGGGCATACAGCCAATCTGCTATGAAAATTTTAAAAGAATTCTCAAAAGACAGGTGTCCCTTCAATTAGTGTTATCTCAAATGGGTTTCTGCTGGAAGACCTGCTGCCCACCACAAATGTAGTGAGAGAATTCACCTTCTTTCCAGAGATAATGCAAATCAGTCCTACACACTCCTCACCATGCAGAGCTGAGTAATAGGTTTCCATTAGGACGCAAATCTAATGACCTCATCCAGCACAGAACTAATTAAATGAAACTAACACATCAGTGGTAAAGATTGAAATGCCGAGCAAATTGTGGTTTATTTCTGGATTGACAAGCACCAATAATAGTCATTCCATCTGTGAGTTTTCTCAGCTATGAAGAATGTGTCTGCAGAGGCTTAGAATGAAACAGCAGCCAGAGCAGAGGAAGAAACAAGGAAGCTGCCTGCCTCTAGTGTGTACCTGGAAGGGAGATCCAGTCCAAGACCTCAAGGCTCTGTCTCAGTCAAGCTCCTGGCTTTGGAAGCTTTCCTTTCTTGAGACCTGCCACTGGATCACACATCCATGTGTGAACTGTCTGCAAGGATGGGATGCCTGTGTGTGTTATGGATACCCAGGCCTCTGGAAACTTCACTTGCTGCAATTGTCCCTGGATTGAGACTCAATAAGGCACACATTTTGTACCACAGCAGGACAGTTTTGTGTATGCGTGTATGCATGTGATAGTCAGTCTGAGGACTATGAATCATTGAAAAAAAATGCAAAGTCCTAGAAAGGAGCTAAGTGTTAGTCCTCTAGCAGCAGCCAACCTGCTTGTCAAACCAAAGGAGTTGGACAGAATCTGAGCCCTAGAATATAGCTCTTAACCACGGCTCTATATAAGAATCATCTAGGAAACTTTTGAAAAACACTGAAGCCAGGACCCCACAGATTCTGACTTAATTGTTCAGGGGTAGAATCTGGATTTTTATTTTGGACATTCCAGGTGATTCTACTCTGCAGCCAGACTTTGGAATCACTCCCCTAGACTCTAGAACAGGAGCATCATTTGTGGTAAGTTCATAAAAGCAAAGCAGGATTCTGGGCTAAGGGAATACATAGAAATTCAGGATCCATAACCTGCTATGAGATGGCTTAGCAAAACTGCCTTCATGACTGCTGGGAAATGAGGCAGTTGCTTACCTAATGCTTCTTTCTCTTTCCCTGTGGGGATGCCACATCTCTTTAGCTTAGCTTCTGTGTGCTGACTGGCTGCACAGCTGAAGATCTGATGTTGCAAGGTTTTTGGTAGAACATTCTCTCCTGCTTACATCATCCAGCTTGGACCGTGTCAAAACAGTACCACATCCTGGATTCTCCCAAGTGATTCTGTCTACCTTTAGTAATGAGACATAGTTGAACAGTCTTGCCAAAGAAGGCATCTCTTAGGATAGGAGAGCAATACCTCTTAGCTGATTACTGTTGAGAATCTCAGTCCTGACTCAGTCTGACAAGTTATTGAGGCTTGTCTTCCCCAGCCTTCAGTACTGCTCACAGGAAGGTCAAATGTAGGCCCACTGGACTCTGCACGCTGTAGCCCCCATATTACTTACGAGCTCCACATGTCCAGGTGATCACTAACCACCCGCATTCTCCAACTCCGCTTTACCTTTCAAAATGGACTAAGACCATTACTCCAATGGGATTATAATAGAACACACCCTCCCCGACTGCCCCTTGAACCACCATAACTGAGACCAATAGGCTCAATCCCATTAGACCCTGTATTTTATCAATCCCGGCAGGGAACACAAGTGTTCCAGATGAACTGTATTCATTGGTCCCATAAGCATACACTATTTTGAAGATCCCTTAGTGGGACTCAAGCTCCTACATCTTCTATACTCCCCAAACCCTCTGGCACTCAAGGCATGCCATCATGAAAATCTCATCTCTGAATATGTCCTTCCCTTCTTGAAGAGAAAATCAATTGGCGCCTAAGAACTTTTCTCTGAAGCCCTATTAAAGGATGAATTTTGTTCTCTATTCCTTTAATTCTCCACATGCCACAAGTCTTGGAGTTTGTATAGGGACAATTCATGCTCCGAATTGTTACTTCCAAGACATTTTCCTTCTTTTCTTCTTCATACCCTAAAATGCAAAACTTCACTATCAATGAATGCTTCTGGTTTCCATCATTTACAGTCTTCTGATAGCCTCCCCACCACCATCCTCTGATGATATTGGCATCTGGCATTGATTTTAACATAAGGCTACTGCCATAATTGTTGGTGATGTCAGTAAGCATGTAGATGGTCCAACCATGAAAATGGTTTCTCAGTTTGTTAACCAGCCATTCTCCAATGTTCATGTCCTATATTTTACCTTAATTAATCATACTTCAGAACTCATCGTTATCTATTATTACGCCACATCCAAAAATAACAATTTCAGACACTTTACTACCTTGTAACTTTCAAGCTTTCTTACCCTAGTATATTCACTGTCACTTTAGTTGTTTCTTGACCTCTTGGGATCTCCAATCCATTGACTATAATACATTACAGTGCCATCGTCCATAACCTTCCTCGTGCTCTCATTTTCTTTCTTAGCTGATTTAGATTTCATTTCCCATCATTATAATACCTTACATAAATCCAGTTGAACATCCCCACACTTCTGTCCTTCCATTGTCAAAATCCCAAGTTGGGTTTCAGCAGATCTCTGTCACCTCCTTACATGTATCATGATGCAGATAAAAACGAATGACTCTGCTGACTGGTCTTACTATAAATTTATAATTAGAGCCCTCAAGTGAGTTCTTGGCACTGGCGGCCCCAATTTTGGTGGTTAATTTACTATCTTATTATCAAGGGTGACTTTCTCACACCTTTTATTCTCTCCCCACATCTCTGGCACTACATACACACACACCCCTCATTCTCACCTAGTTAACTTGCTGAGAGAACTTCCTTAGCCTTCTACCACCAAGTCAACCCACTTCACTTCATCTGTAGCAGAATATGCTATCTTGCCTCCTGATCAAGTGAAAGGCAAGACTTGTTTGTACTCACTGGCTCACTTCCCTCCCTTCTCTCTTTTGTACCCATTCCAGGCAGGCTTTTATTTCACAAAGCTCAAAGTCATTCTCCTTAAGTGTCCAACAGGCAATTCTCAGTTCTCATTTTACCTGACCTCTCAGTGGCACTTGTCATGATTGATCCCTCCATTCTTGAAATATTTTCCCGCCTTGGCCATTAGGATGTCCTCATTTTCTGATTTCTCTCCCTGCCTGTGGCTTCTTTCCCTGCTCCTTCATTGGCAACATTGTTAAATCTTCCTTTTCCCGACTTTTAAAGATGATGTGCCTCAAAGTTCAGTCATTCTTCCCTTTACTCCATGTACACATACGCCTTTGGTGAGCTTATCCAGTCTGTGGGTTTAAATAACATTTCCACAACAAGGATTATATGGTTTGGCTCTGTGTCCCCACCCAAATCTCACCTTCAATTGTAATAATCCCCATGTGTCAAGGGCAGGACCGGGTGGAGATAATTGAATCGGGCGGGGCGGGAGTGGGGGTCGCAGTTTCCCCCGGGCTGTTCTCATGATCACTAGTGAGTTCTGAGACCTAATGGTTTTATAAGGGGTTTCCCCCTTGCTCAGCACTCATTCTTTC